>NC_000001.11:242699273-242850788 GCF_000001405.40 Homo sapiens
GACTTTTGTGAATATTTCTGGAGATAGGTGGAAAATCACGGAGGAAGGCCGTGAAATCTCTCTAAGGTATATATGAGATTTCGATCTTAATTGCTTTCTGATAATATACACATTTATGCTCGCTTTTTAGCATTATAAATAGAAATAACCTAAAATATGAATAATTAAATTATTTTTGATTAACCTGATTTTAATTAAAAAAGGAGTGTAGACATTCAAACATTTTCACCTTTCCTTTTTGTCTGTTTCCTCCTGTGACTGCATGTTAACCCTCTGCTTAGACACTGATATGAGAAGCCTTCCTGATACCATCAGCTGCTCCTTGTCGTTTTACTTCTTATTTTTCTTGAGCCCATATCTTACTCTCTTTGAGAACATCCCAGGTGAATTCTCCCAATTTGATATGATGTTAAGGATTTAAGAGGCCAAAATGTTGGAAATGTATGTTCACGCACACACACATACGCAATCCAAATGTTGCCACTTTCTAGCTGTGTGACATTGACCTTATTTCCTAACTGCTTAACTGTACTGTAAAATGAAGGTAATAAAAGTAGCTATACCATACGGCAGTCACGGGAACTAAATAGGAAAACACATACATAGAGGGTAACAGAGCCTAAGGCATAGTGAGTACTGAATGAATGTTAATTCTGATGCATGTTACATATGCACTGTGCATGTACATTTACATAGACATGCACACCTAAGGAGAAGAATAGGCTTCCCCTGAATTTCACATGTAGAAGTGAATGCTCTTCCTATGAACTTCTCTGTCTTCCTTTAAAACACTATTGACAAGCTCCCAATCTGTAGATCTTAAGCATCTAATCATGACTGGTTTCCTACCCTCAGAACAATCTATCAGCTCCTTGATTTCCCATTTTCTCTCAAATTTCATTCAAAAGCTCTTTTTTCTTATTTTCCACTAGTCCTTAGGATTATTGCCCTTTGATTTTTAACCATTTGAATTCAGAAATAAAATGGTGTTAGAAGTCATGTGATCCAAAAGATCAGTGTTTATTTAGCAAACATTATTTAAAATTTTTCTTTTAAAGAAAGAAAGAAAGAACAAATGGAGGGAGGGAGGAAGGGAGGGAAAAGAAGGAAGGAAAGAAGGAAGGAAGGAAGGAAGGAAGGAAGGAAGGAAGGAAGAAAGAAAGAAAGTCGGGTGTGATGATATGCACTAGTAGTCCTAGCTACTTGGAAGGCTGAGGCAGAAGGCTCCCTTGAGTCCAGGAGTTCAAGGTTACAGGGAGCTGTGATTGCACCATTGCACTTCAGCCTGGGCAAGAGAATAAGACTCTGTCCCTTAAAAATAAACAGATAAATTAAAAAACCATTAAAATGCAAAAAAATATTCTTTTAAATGAGCAATTTTATGCCTCATCCAATATTTAAAGTTAATTTCTCTGTTGGTGTTTCCCCTGACAGTCCTTTGTGAAAACAGTCATCTAATTAAGTGTATACCTTTTACTCATGCACCTTGCATTGCAGGTCAGAAAGGAAATGAATAAATTCTGTGTGGAAACAAAACTTAAGCTGTAAGATCCCCTCAAAGGTAACAAGACCATATGAGAGATCTCCTCATATGAATTTGCCAACCTAAAATTAAACTTCAAATTTACTGTTCTAACATTTGCTTCTGTGAAAACAGCATAATCTTACCTGGATTCTATCAATAATGCCCAGATACATGCAAATTCCTTAAATGATAGGCATCCATGATAACTGACATCTGAAAAGCAAAGTGAAGAGATCTGTTCAGTACATGACACTTAGCTCAATTTTAAATTGGTCAAAATGAGGTAACTTAAAGTTTAGTTGTTTCAGAAGAGACAGGGAACTCTTCTCATTCTTACTTCTCCTTAGGGTTATTGTCAAAACTAAGTAGATTGCTTGCCATGGTCAACAAAAGTCTGCAGCCACCTCACACACCCTATTGAATGAGAGGCTATTGGATGGCTATGATCAAAAAGATAAGAAGTTAACAAATGTTGATGAGGTTGTGGAGGAAAGGGAAGCCTTGTACTCTCTTGGTGGGAATGCAGGCTGCTACAGCCTTTACAAAAGACAATATGAAGGTTCCTACAGAAATTAAAAACAGAACTACTGTATGACCCAGCAATCCCTTTTCTGGATATACACCCAAGGGAGATGAAATCAACACCTCCTAAAGGTATCTGAACTCTCATGCTTATTGCAGCATTATTCACAATAGCCAAGATATGTAAACAACCTAAGTGCTTTTTAATGAAGGAAAGGATAAAGGAAAGGTGGTATATATACACAATGGAATATTACTCAGCCTTTAAAAAGGGGGATGCTGACATTTGCCACCACATTTTGGGCACAGAGGACATCATGCTAAGTGATATAAGCTAGACACAGAAAGAAAAAAAGTTGCATGATCTCACATATATTTAGAATCTTTTTTAAAAAGGTTAAATATACAGAAATAGAGAATGAAACCGTGGCTACAATGGGGGGAATAGGAAGATGGAGGTCAAAGCATACAAGGTAGCAGGTATGTAGGATGAACAAGTCTAGAGAACTTATGTACAACATGAGGACTAAAGTTAATACAATTAGATTGTATTAGGGATTTTTTTTTTTTTTTGAGATGGAGTCTCACTCCGTGCCCAAAGCTGGAGGGCAGTGGTGCCATCTCGGCTCACTGCAACCTCCGCCCCTCAGGTTCAAGCGGTTCTCCTGCCTCAACCTCCCGAGTAGCTGGGATTACAGGCACCTGCCACCGTGCCCAGCCAATTTTTTGTATTTTTAGTAGAGACAGGTTTCACCATCTTGGCCAGGCTGGTCTTCAACTACTGACCCTGTGATTCACCTGCCTCGGTCTCCCAAAGTGCTGGAATTACAGGTGTGAGCCACCACGTCTGGCTGTGTTAGGGATTTTTATGAAATAAGTAGATCTTAGCTGCTCTTGCCACAGAAAAAAGGAACTATGTGAGATGAAAATATGTTCATCTTCTTCACTATAGCAATAATTTTACATCTACGTGTATCCTGTAACATCATGTTGCAAACCCCAAATATGCACAATAAAATCTACTTCTGAAGTCTTCAGATGAAGTATTCCTAGAAACCGAGCTATATGGTAAGAAGTACACTGAACTAGGGACCCGAGTTTCTGATTCAGATAAAATGAGGGGAGGAAGAGTGAAGGGGAAAGGCTAAAATGTTTGACCTCCCAGACACTTTTTTCCTCTACATCCAAATCAGGTTATAGGAAATTTGACTATCCAAATTCAAAATCAAAATCAAAATAAATTTGATTATTTCTGTTTTAGCATCTTTCTATTTGTTATGCTAAAAAACAGACAGCATAATAGTATGTTTTATCTGAAATCAATTAGTATCTGGATTTACTTCCATCAGTACTGTTAACTTTATGACTATGAGAATGTTACTTAAATTCAGTTTTATTGTCTGTAAAACTAGTAGGGAGAATTCGATATCATTAAAAGTTCTAAAACAACCTTCTTCTTTATGAAACAATTGATATAATAAGACCTGTCCTGACAACTTAACTACATTCTAAGGATCAAATGATGTAAGATATATGAAATTACAAACTATAAATCATGAGTCAAACTTAAACTTCTCTTGCTATTGTTCTAACTGAACCACATAAAGATTGGGTTAATTGTCTAAGATAGTACCACTAACAGGTCACACTGCTTGAAAAGCAGAATGCAACTCATCACAGAAACTAAACAAAAACAAAAACAAAAACAAAAAAACAAAAAAAACAAAACTTTTTAAGGAATAAACACATGAGCTGGGGTTTGAACGTAAACTGTCTGTCCCAGGGCCTGGGTGCTTAATCACTATTTCATGCTGCGCTACATTTGCCAACGAGGATAAATTAAAGTCAGCAGTGGAGAAGCTATGGAGTAATTCCATAATACTAGCACCAATTTAATTTAGAATAATGGGAGCAGAGAGCACCAGAATACATAAGCCACGAGGCACTATTCTACTAGGGGAATACTTCAGAATGAGAATAATTTTTGTGAATTGAATACTTTTGAGATGTTGGACAATTCCAAAAAGTTCTCATCCTTCAGATATTGTGGTAATAGTCCTTCTTTTCCCTGGAAAAGAGAAAAAATGTACAGATTAGACTACAGTTATTTCCTCAAATATGCCAACCCATCCCTGAGGGGGTAGTATATTTACAGGAGGGAAAACTATGCTAGGGTCTGTGCCCCAGACAAGGGAAGCCAAGATAACAGCATGGCTCAATAAAGTCCAATTAAAGGAAGTTCCATTTCATCTGACTCCCAAAGCTCACACCAAACTTGCTGAAAAGGCCAATATGATCCTTGTTATCTTTCCACACTGCTAACACATACAGTCTGCGCCTGTGCCAGCGGCATAAGATACTGAAAGCTGACCTCTCCCTTAGGAGTCAGCCAATTGTCTTTAGCCCAATCCAAACTAAACCTTCTCTGGCCCTAGGCCTTCTTCTGAAAATAAAAATGTCTAGCAACTTAACTTTCTCTTAAGCTATTAAATAGACTTTACTAAAGCATTTATTTTTAAAATAATAGGTCTTTTTTATACTGCTAAAGTAAAGCATTGTGATAATTTGGAAAATACTAAAAACTATTAAGGAACAGTATAATCTCATTTCCTAGAATCAACCACTATAGTATATATCTTTCATATGTTGGTATGTGTATAATTCCAACTTTATACTATATATATATAATGTCTATACAATTTGTTTCATATGTTTAGGAATCAAAATTGTGACTACATTATTTAATGCAATTTTTTAAAATTTAATATTACATTGGGAGTATATTTCTATATGATGAAACATTGAAAACGTTAATTTTTAGGAACTTCTTCAGGCTGTAATAGAGTAGTAATAAAATTAATCTTTGGCAGGCAGTAATTATAGAGGTAAAATATCAGAAATACATCTATAAGAAGGCACTGGAGAACAACCAAAGCAACCAGGCTTTGAGGGGCCAGTATCCCAGAGAAAAGGGAAATGCATTGCTGTGAGATCAATATTTCTCCTATATTTCCCCTTAAGGTATTTATTAATCTATAAGCACTTCACAGCATACAGGCCAAGCAGGGAGACGAAAATCTTCAGGGGTTAAGAGAAAAGAAAGGGGCTGGGTGTGGTGGCCTAAAGGAAGCCAGACCAAGGTGCTTTATAGTTATAGCAACACTACTGAAACTGAATAATAAAAGAAAATTTAAAATCAGCCAGAAAAAAACAACATAATTGTACAAGCAACAACAATAATATTGAGACTGGATTCTTTAAAAAATAGAATCAAGAAGAAATCAAGATATTGCTCCATGCATGGAGTAATATCTTTACAGTACTGACAGAAAGACTGCCTTCTTCAAATTTAGTATTTAGAGAAAATATTCTTAATAAATTTAGGTGCAATTAAAACATTTTCAGACAAAGAAAAACTAAATAAAAATGGGTTGTGAGCCTGTATTTTAGCCTTCGATAAAATTCAACATCCCTTCATGTTAAAAACTCTCAATAAACTAAGTACTGAAGGAATATATCTCAAAATAGTAAGAGCCATATATGACAAACCCAGAGCCAATATCATACTCAGTGGGCAAAAGCTGGAAGCGTTCCTCTTGAAAACCAGCACAAGACAAGGATGCCGTCTCTCACTATTCCTATTCAACATAGTATTAGAAGTTCTGGCCAGGGCAATCAGGCAAGAGAAAGAAATAAAGGGTGCTCAAATAGGAAGAGAGGAAGTCGAATTGTCTCTGTTTCCAGATGATATCCTATGTCTAGAAAACCCCAGCCCAAAAGCTCCTTAAGCTGATAAGCAACTTCAGCAAAGTCTCAGGATACAAAATCAATGTGCAAAAATCACAAGCATTCCTATACACCTACAATAGGCAAGCAGAGAGCCAAATCATGAATGAACTCCCATTCACAAATGCTACAAAGAGAATAAAATACCTAAGAATACAGCTAACAAGGGATGTGAAGGACCTCTTCAAGGAAGACTACTAACCACTGCTCAAGAAAAATAAGAGAGAACACGAACAAATGGAAAAGTTTTCCATGCTCGTAGATAGGAAAATGGTCATACTGCCCAAAGTAATTTACAGATTCAATGCTATTCCCATCAAACTACCATTGACGTTCTTCACAGAATTAGAAAAATCTACTTTAAAATTCATATGGAACCAAAAAAGGGCCTGTATAGCCAAGACAATCCTAAGCAAAAAGAACAAAGCTGGAGCATCACACTACCCAACTTCAAACACTACAAGGCTACAGCAACCAAAACGGCATGGTACTGGTACCAAAACAGACACAATGGAGCAGAATAGAGATCTCTCACATCGATAACCATCTGATCTTTGACAAACCTTACAAAAACAGCAATGAGGAAAGGCATTCCCTATTTAATAAGTGGTGCTGGGAGAACTGGCTAGCCATATGCAGAAAATTGGAACTGGATCCCTTCCTTATACCTTATACAAAAATTAACTCAAGATGGAATAAAGACTTAAATGTAACACCCAAAACTATAAAAAGAGAGAGAAGAAAATCTAGGCAATACTATTCAGGACATAAGCACAGGCCAATATTTCATAATTAAAACATCAAAAGGAATTGCAACAAAAGCAAAATTTGACAAATGGGACCTAATTAAACTAAAGAGCTTCTGCACAACAAAAGAAACTATCACCAGAGTGAAGAGACAACCTACAGAATGGGAGAAAATGTTTGCAATCTACCCATCTGATACAGGTCTAATATCCAGAATCTACAAGGAACTTAAATGTACAAGAAAAAAAACTCATTCAAAAGTGGACAAAGGACATGAGCAGACACTTCTCAAAAGAAGACATTCATGTGGCCAACAAACATATGAAAAAAAAAAAAGCTCAACATCACTGATTATTAGAGAAATGCAAATCAAAACCACAATGAGATACCATCTCATGCCGCTCAGAATGGTGATTATTAAAAAGTCAAGAAACAGATGCTGGAGAGGCTGTGAAGAAATAGGAACGCTTTTACATTGTTGATGGGAATGCAAATTAGTTCAACCATTGTGGAAGATAGTGTGGCAATTCCTGAAGGATCTAGAACCAGAAATACCATTTGACCCAGCAATCCCATTACTGGGTATATACCCAAAGGAATATAAATCATTCTATTATAAAGACACATGCACACATATGTTTATGCAGCAGTATTCACAATAACAAAGACATAGAATCAACCCAAATGTCATCAGTGATAAACTGGATAAAGAAAACATAGTACACGCCCGTCATGCAATATTATTCAGCCATAAAAAGAAATAAGATCATGTCCTTTGCAGGGTGGGAGAATTGTTTGAGGCAGCCCAAATTTCATCAACAATAAAATAGATACTTTGTGATATACTTGTATAACAGGGTAAATATAGCAATGAAAATAAGCTGTTGTTACATGCTACCGCATGAAAAGAGTTCATGAACATAGTTCATTTGAGCAAAAGAACACACACCATAGAGCATATACAATTCCATATATATAGTTCCCAAATATGCTAAAACTAGCCTATGATGATGATAGAAGGCAAGATAATGATTATCTTTGGAGGAGCAATGATCAGGAGGGCTCACAAAAGAAATTCCTGAGATGCTGATAATTGTTCTATTTCTTGATCTGGATGGTGGTTACAGAGTGTGATCACTTTGTAAAAATTCATAGAACAGCACACTTAGGATTTGAACACTTTTCTGTGTGAATGGTATATTTCTATTTTGAAAGGTTTACTTAAAAACGTGATTTTTCAGAACTATGTAGTATTTAACCCTACGGATATTCAGTTCATTTAATTCATTTCTTCTTGTTCACTAAAGATGTTTGTTACATTTTGCTCTTATAAAATATTTAAATATTTTTAAACTCTCATGTTTTACTTTTCTAAATTAAATCTTTGACTGTTTTCTAAAGGTAAGTTCCTAGAAGTAGAAATGCTGGGTCAAAGGATATAAACATTTTTAAGACACTAAAACATGTTGCCAAACTGCTCTCCAGAAAGATCATCTCACTATTACCACACCAAAGGTCAATCTCATTCAAGGCAGATTTGAATGTTTATAGCCCTTATCCCATTTGACCTTTATGATATTTGATACTGTCAGCCACCTCTTCTTTCATAAAATTCTATTCTGCTTCGTCTTTCTGGGCATTGCCCTGCTCAGCCCATCCTCCTCCGTCTTTTCCCTGTGCTCAACTACACGCTTTCTCCAAAGGTTACTTCCTGGCCTTTTTTGCCTCTCTCCTTTAGAAGAATTTGTCTTTGGTATTTTTTCTTCCTGCTCTGTGTTTATGATTTCCTATTCTCTCTTTCCAGTTTCAACCTCTTTTCTTGTTCTGTATTTTCATTAGCTGGTTGTCTACTTTCATGCCCTATGATTATTTCAAAGGTAACTAAGTATTGGGAACAGTGGTTAATGAGTTAATAAATATTTGAAAAGGCAGAAAGAATGAGTCCTGATATTCAGAAGCAAGGCCTCTAGCTAACACACCCTTCAACGCCTAATGCATCTCTCTTTTCTTCTTTTCACCTGTCCTTTCCACCTTCTTGCTGCCTTACTAAAATCTCTTCCTTTTCTTTGCTCACACTCTCATCAGTTTTAACATTTTTCTTCCATTTTAGTTTCTCTCCATACTAAATTGTACAAAATGTCTAAATATTATTCCATTTATTTATTTTTGAGACAGAGTCCTGCTCTGTTGCCCAGGCTCGAGTGCAGTTGCATGATCTCGGCTCGCTGCAAGCTCCACCTCCTGGGCTCAAGTGACTCTCCTGCCTCAGCCTCTCGAGTAGCCAGGATTACAAGCATGTGCCACCATGCCTGGCTAATTTTTGTATTTTTAGTACAGATGGGGTTTTACCATGTTGATCAGGCTGGTCTCGAACTCCTGACCTCAGGTTATCTGCCCACCTTGGCCTCCCAAATTGCTGGGATTACAGGTGTGAGCCACTGCACCTGGCCAATATTTTTCCATTTAGTTTTTCAATAAAGTTTTATAATCTGACTTTTCCCATTAGAACCACTCAAATCCAAAATAGGCAAGCTAAATATCTTGTTTTCTAAGAGAAAAGAATTAATTGGCTGCTTTGAATATGATCTTTTTTGAAAAAATATTCATAGATTATTTCATGTCGCTTAAAATGTCACACTACTGCTATTGATTGTTGCGTGTTTACTACATTGTGGGCTTGCAGTATATTAACTTTCTTATTCTTTAGAGTATTGCTTTGAGGTAGGTTTATAATTTCTCAGATGAGAAACTGAGGCATGGGCTGGGCATCTTGCCTGGGTCCCATGCCTGGTAAGCTGCGGAAGAGCTGGGATTCAAACCCAGTCTGTGTGACTTCTACACCAGAGCTCTTGACCTCTCAATTGGGAGCTCAGTACATATTGTTAACTTGAGCAGCGATCATGTCTCTACTTATCACTGTCTGGAGGAAAGAAACAGACAGTACACCACTCAGAAACAGAGCTTTGTAATGTCTCTCTCCTAGCCCCTTCCTCCTCATAACCTCCTTTGATCATCGTAAGAGGATCAATGAAGTTAATGGTCCTACTGGGTACTTTGGGCATGGACAGGGTCATTAGAATAGAGTTCCCGCTGTGTGCCTCTGAGAGATCTGCTCAGAGTAGAAGGTGGAGTGTAGCTCGTGGGTTAGAAACCTTTAAAGCAGACAGATATCCAATAGTGCCCTGCGTATGGTCTCCCTCTCTCAGCCCTCATTATCTTCACCTCTAAAACCACTGAGAAAAGAGAAAAAGAGAAATATGGCCAGGCTCCTTTTTATTCATGAACTGCCTAAGTGTAGATTAGGAAGTGATTGATGGAAATCATGTTTTTAATATGTGAGCCAGGGTCATCCGATTTGCCATTGGCAATTTAACCACTCCGGGTTCTTGTCCTATGTACTCCCAGCTGGGATTTTAGGGCTGCATTAGCCTAACACTTAGGAGCACTGCAAGACTTTTATTGAAACTCTTCCTTTCCTTGTGTGTTTTGTAATAAAGAAAACATTATCAGTTTTGTTTGCCTACATTCTACTGGATAGTAGAGCACTCACACTGATTTACTTTCACCTGACCTGTCCCTTAAAATACAGAATCTCGATTAATATATATAGAATCTGTCATCTTAAATACACACATGCATACACACACACACACACACACACACACACACACACTCCATGACATCTCCATTCTTACAGTAGCACTCAAGGAATGTTTGTTGTCAAGTTACAGAGTAGCAGGCTGCTTAGAGAGAGGCAAGTTCATTTTGTGGCTGAGAACCAGAGTATTAAGGACTGCCAGTCTTAACAACCCAGCTGCGGGAAGGGTGGCAAAGCATTGCTGCTTCTGCGGAGGATGGTATCGTGTGCTTCTCAGGCACAGCATTTGACATTTACAAAGCTCTTACTGAGTCTTCAAGATCCGGATCAATCATTATTCTGTGTGAAGTCTTTCATGATCTGCAAGAGGAGTGAATCACACTCTTTCCTTTCCTGGTATATACTTTTGAATTCAAGTGAAAAACTTATCTTAATAGGAGCAGAATTCCTGAAGGCGTAGGCGTCCACTGGCTCCCAAGCCACAAAGACTGTGGTGGGACTCCCTGATGTGAAATCAGGAGGAGAATTTGAGACCCTGAAGAGGAAGTATAGTAGAGGAAGACTTTGGGGATCCACGTGGATGAAACTGGAGAAGTGAGAAGAGTGGTTAAGCCAATTTTCCCTTGTTCACCAATGGTCACAGAGGACCAGCTAACATCCAGATAATGACTCTATTATTGCACTTAAACTATTGTAATTATTTGCTTATATTTCTGTCTTTCCTACTAACAAATGATAGCCCTGAAGGAAGGGACTTTGCTTTGTTCATGCTTTTACCCTGTCACCCTATAGAGAGCTGAAATAGAACAGACCCATAATGAATGTTTGTGGAATTAACACATGTTGGTAGAAAATGACATCTGCACGGGTACAAACACTCATCTGTGAGACAATGAGGCAAGTCAAGTTCATTATTGTTACTTTTCTTACAAAAAAACAAAGTAGCCATCTTAAGCTATCCCTTAACATGACACCACCCTTTCCAATCAGGGCTTCTCTTTTAACCCACACTGAGAATTGGCAACAATGTACAAAGTTCCCTGCTGAGTGCTGTAACTGCACATCCCTGCTAGGTCCTTGGGAAATTTACTGTGTGACTGGCAAACTGTTAGCACTGTGAAGACTCTCAAGAATATCATCCCTGGAGAAAAATGATGACTGTATTAAGTCCAGTTTACATGTTCTTAAACGGCTTGCAGACCGAAACGCTTTGGAGTTAGTGGAACATTTATTTAAAATGCTCTATCAGACCAAATCAAAGCTGAAAGCACAGCACCATTCATTTATCTAGACCATGGAGTTTAGCTAGAGCTAGTCCTCTCAGGTGGCTAGGGCCTGTCTCATTCTTCTGCTATTCGTCAGAAAACCTTCTTGTAGGAAAGGCAAAGGGACACGGGGCTGGAATATTTAAACATAATTCTCTTAAGAGTGCTCTTTCATAACCAAAGATGGTAATTGCTTTCCTCGGAGGCCCCTGTTCCTTCAGAAAAGCTTTGTTTCTTGCTGCTTTTAAAATTTCCAGCTAAAAGGAGTTTGTGGATTCAAGGGGAAAGCTACAAAGAAATGCATAGAGAAAGCTGAGAACCTGGGCAGTCTTACTGCTGTAAGACTAGAGGGCATGAATTTGAGAGCATCACACAGCCAGGGGTAGAGTCCTCAGTCTATGGGCTCATCCATTCACCAGGTATAGGATAGTGGAATCCACACAGGTCATTTCTTCCCAAAGACAAGATAGGACACTGTTCAATCCTGAACAGATTTATGCTTCTCTTGGAGCAAAAATGGCATTTAATAGGAATATGGAGGAGTAGTCAAAAATATGAGAGGGGAAAAGATGTCAGAATCCAGGAAGAACCTATGAAAGCACTTAAAGTTGGTGAAACCACAGCAGCCCTTTATCCCTACAACCTTCTTTTAGACATCTCCCCACTCGTCCCCCATTCACCCTCACCAATTCCAGTGTGCTCTCAGGAGAGACAGATCCCAGCCACCTTCCTTTCAGAGCAAACTTAAGCCAAATCCATTCCTCCCCAGGGGTCAGTTGCATTTGAAGCCTTCAATCTTATTGAGAATTACAACTGCCCTCTTCATAAAGGGATTTAAAGTGCCAGGGAGAAGCTGAGGGAGATACTGAGGTGCCACCTTCCCCAGCCCAGGTAGGCAACGGCTCATTCTGCTACAGCTAATGCAAGGTTGTCTGCAAAGGACAAATTCATCCTTTCTCACATGTATCCTGACATGCCCTTTAGGACAAGCCCTTTCACTGTATTTTATAAAACTGCATTATTAGGTTCCAACTATTTAAAACAATATATACAAGTCAAATACTCTTTGAATCATCTGTGAGTATATTGTTGTAAGTTATTCACCAAACTCTATGAGAAAAACATTTCATTGATTGATTGCTGTGATAAGAATTTACAGAGGGCATTAACTATGTGCCAGGTACTGGGCTAGATGATGGAAATGAATACTTGCCATCACCTGGCAAATGCTCAGATTTTAGTGTTACTTCATTTCTGTGTAGACTAAAATGAATTTAATATGGATTTAGTACTCTGAATTACCTGGTTCATTCTTAAACTGTCATCTTGCTGTATTTATTCATTCAAGCATTTAATAAGTTTCTGCCATGCGCCAGACACATAGAAACTGATTGAATAGCCCACACAACCTAACTCCAGAATTCACTAAAAGTTTGCTTTGCTTAAGTCTGACTCAACCACTTACTAGCTATCATTTAAATCTCCTGACCGTCAGTTTCCCCACCTTTCAATCAGGTATAATAATAGCATCTATTTCATAAGTCTGTATTAAGTACTTAATGAGAAAATCCAAGTAGAATGCTTAGCACATAATAAGTGCTCAGTAAACATGAGCTATTTAGCTGGAGATAAGGAATAATGCCTGTAGTCATTTGGAAGAACCTTGGCAGTCAATTCATAATATCAGCTCTAGAGAGTTGTTTTTCAGGAAAAGGTGACGTCATTAGAGGTCCAGGTACCTAGAGAAACAGAAGCTGAGCTACACTGGCTGTTGCGCACTCTTCCTCATCAGGTCTGATGGATCTCCAGGGAAACTAAGCAATAGCAGCGATGCCATTGCACCTGAAAACGATCATTGCCATCTCTGCTACCACAGCCACCATCACCACCACTACCACCAACACCACTATTACTGCTTTTACTATCTGCAACCAATACCATCATTCCTACTACCACCAGCACCATCAATACCAATGCAGCCACTATCACCATCACCACGACTACCATTGGCATCACCACTGCTATGACCACCTCCACTTCTACTATCTGTAAGCACTAGCATTATCATTGCTGCTGCCACCACCTACACCACCCCACCATTACAATAATTACAATTACAACATTACAGTGATTACTGCCATGCATCTCAGTGTTTCTCAAACAATGGCCCATCTCCATCTGACTCAGGATTTCCTGGGGCCCTTATTAAAATGATAGCATCCTGTGCCTCACCCCAAACTTATTGAATCCAAAATCTGTGGATGTTTTCCAGAAGTCTGCATTTAAGCAAGCTCTCAGGTGATTTGTAGGGAGCTAAAACAGGAAATCACAGATTTGAGGGCATGTGTTTCTAGTGAAACCAAGCGCCTCATCCACAAACTGGTATTCTTTAAGATTCCATGGAAGCCTCTACTGGGCATTTACTCGACTAGAATGTCAAAGAGCATGTGCATCAACACAGAAAACCAGAGTAAGACTAAAAGTATGAATACAGTCAAAATTGTGTTGAGACCAGGTGCTTATGTATTCTAGGAAGCTCAGGCTGAACTTCCTCTCTCTGGTCCTGAGATCTCTCACTCAAAAAATGAGGACATGCCCCAACCCACATGTTTGCCAGTGGCAGAGCTGGCGCTAGAAACCACATCTTCTGACTCTCAGTCCAGTTTAGTTGGTTTTCCAAGAAGGTGGCCCAGGAGAAGGAGGCAAAGAAAGCAATAGCAAAAGCAGATGGATTTGGGGCCAGCTGTGAGTCAGTCCAAGGCAAGATTGAGTGTATAACATTAAGGGAAATCATGATGCACAGTGAGGGACCAGTCTTCAACAGAAAAATACTGGGTATATACCCAAAGGATTATAAATCATGCTGCTATAAAGACACATGCACACATATGTTTACTGCAGCACTATTCACAATAGCAAAGACTTGGAACCAACCCAAATGTCCAACAATGATGGACTGGATTAAGAAAATGTGGCAAATGGGATCTAATGAAACTAAAGAGCTTCTGCACAGCAAAAGAAACTACCATCAGAGTGAACAGGCAACCTACAAAATGGGAGAAAATTTTCGCAACCTACTCATCTGACAAAGGGCTAATATCCAGAATCTACAATGAACTCAAACAAATTTACAAGAAAAAAAAAAAAAAAAAAACAATCCCATCAAAAAGTGGGCAAAGGACATGAACAGACACTTCTCAAAAGAAGACATTTATGCAGCCAAAAAACACATGAAAAAATGCTCACCATCACTGGCCATCAGAGAAATGCAAATCAAAACCACAATAAGCTACCATCTCACACCAGTTAGAATGGCAATCATTAAAAAGTCAGGAAACAACAGGTGCTGGAGAGGATGTGGAGAAATAGGAACACTTTTACACTGTTGGTGGGACTGTAAACTAGTTCAACCATTGTGGAAGTCAGTGTGGCGATTCCTCAGGGATCTAGAACTAGAAATACCATTTGACCCAGCCATCCCATTAGTGGGTATATACCCAAAGGACTATAAATCATGCTGCTATAAAGACACATGCACACATATGTTTATTGCGGCATTATTCACAATAGCAAAGACTTGGAACCAACCCAAATGTCCAACAATGATAGACTGGATTAAGAAAATGTGGCACATATACACCATGGAATACTATGCAGCCATAAAAAATGATGAGTTCATGTCCTTTGTAGGGACATGTAGGTTTCAGCTGGAAACCATCATTCTCAGCAAACTATTGCAAGGACAAAAAACCAAACACCGCATGTTCTCACTCATAGGTGGGAATTGAACAATGAGAACACATGGACACAGGAAGGGGAACATCATACACCGGGGACTGTTGTGGGGTGGGGGGAGGGGGGAGGGATAGCATTAGGAGATATACCTATTGCTAAATGATGAGTTAATGGGTGCAGCACACCAACATGGCACATGTATACATATGTAACAAACCTGCACGTTGTGCACATGTACCCTAAAACTTAAAGTATAATAATAAAAAAAAAGAAAGAAAAATATGAGAGAGGATAAAGTGGTGCTTGGACACTGATTTCTCTCTTCCAGTTTTGCTTTTCCTTTTCATGTGCCCACCTCTCTCATGTCTTCTATCTAGTGCCCAGCAGCTAGTTGTACCAGGGTCTACCCTCCCGTCCACATCTACTGGTATATTTTCCTACGTGATCTCCCCTATGCTACCTCTCAAACTTCCTCTGCTGCTATGACTCCCTGGACCTCTCCACTCCAGCCACACTGGACTCCTTAACATATTCCTGAATCACATCCAGAGCCCCTCCTCCTCACAGCCTTGACACTCCCTGACCCTGCTGCTTAGATGCTTGACTCTCTCCCTCACTTCCTTTCAGTCTGTCCAAATGCTACTTTCTTAAAGAGCTCTTTCCTGAAAACCCAGTGTAGAAGTACTCATGCCCCAGCCTCATCTCTCTCCCTATTCCTTTACCCAGCTGTATGTTTCACTATCAATCTAAATATGTATTTGGCTGGGTGTGGTGGCTCACGCCTGTAATCCCAGCACTTTGGGAGGCTGAGGCGGGAGGATCACTTTAGCCCAGGAGTTTGAGACCAGCCTGGGCAGCAGAGACAGACCCTATCTCTACAAAAAGATTAAGAAATTAACCAGGTATGGTGATCCATGCCTGTAGTTCTAGTTAATTGGGAGTCCGAGGTGGGAGGATTGCTTGAGCCCAGGAGTTGGAGGCTGCAGTAAGTTACAACTGCTCCACCCACTGCACTCCAGCCTGGGCAACGGAGCAAGACCCTGACTCCAAAAATAAATAAATAAATATTAAGTATGTGTTCATCTGTTCTTCTCTCTCTTTTCATCAAATTTGTAAATTTTTGAGAGCAGGAATTTAATGTCTGCTTCACTCAAACAGTGCCTGCCCCATAGTAGGCACTCAATAAGTATTCTCTAAATAAGTGAATCGCCCATTCTGTGGGAAGTCTAAGCTCTGCCAACACATGTAATGGTTAATGGCTTACCCTTTTCCAGGCAATACATTTGCATTAGACGAGGACTTTCAGGAGAAAATATCCTAGCACAAAGAAATGATCCCAGTGGTGGATAGGTGGCATTCTTGTCAGTCCACCGAAGTCAACATTTTGACTCAATTATAAGGTGGCTTAGTCACCCTATAATTACCCTACCATCACTATGCATCACTGCAAACTCAGCACCTTGTCCAAAGCCTGGCACATGGCAGTTGTTCAATAAGAGTCTGTTGAACTGGAGTGTGTGGGAGGCTCTGTTTTGCCCACATGCAACGCCTGCTCTGTGTAATAATTCAATCATCAAGTCCATGAGGATTTCTAATTGATGGCTGCTACCCTTATCGCTTACAAAACTGTAACTTCACAGCCAGCCTAACAGTCAGGTGCAAATTCGGTCTTCCTTCTCTTTTGCTGAAGATTTTGTGGTCTGTTACTGTGGTTTTTATTACAGGTGACTTGCAGACAACAACTAGGTCTCACAAAAAGCCTAGACGTTTTTTAGAGAGCAAGTAATTGCCTAAGTTAATGGGCAATTAAGAAGTTTGAGATCAAATTGTATGTTTTGCACCAGGCTTCCCTAGTAAGCTATTTCCCTAAGAGGAAAAGAAAGCAGTTATGCTAAGCAATCATACCTTAACCCACCTTATAGCTCAAGGATTCAGTTTTTAATCAGTGCTAAATTTATCAGATCTCGCCTGGATTTGCAATAGAACAGCTGCCAAGCAAACTGTAAAGGAATAGAATGCACCAACGTTCAGATGAAATCAGCAAGGAAATCCTTCCTCATCAAAACCAGCAGTCACCGTCAAAACGAGCACACACTGAGTGACTGCTGCTGACAAATGGAATGCCCGACATCCACAGCTTCTGCAAAACACCCTGAGCACATGTCTGTGGGTAACTTTTCTCCCATAGCGAAGAATTTCTATTCTCTAGACAAAGACGCCAGATATGGGGAATTCATTTTTTAATGAATCTTAAGACGTATTAATGGTTAATGTAACCATTGCCTGTCAGTTTGACCCACTGAAAGGCTTTTAAAGACTGTGTTCACTTTACCATTTACCTAGTATTATTGAATAAGTTTTGATTTAACGGTATCTTCCTTTATTTGACCCAAGGTTGTTTTACTTTTCAAAGTTAGCTAAAATGACATACTACTCACCTTAATGAGGCCTCTGATGCCTCTATTCATATTTTTAAACCTACCCAATATTCTTTATTATCCTTTTCTACCTTATTGTCCTTCAGAGCACTTATCACTATCTAAGATACTTTTTCTTTTTCTTTTTTTTTTTTTTTTTGAGATGGAGTCTCACTCTGTCACCCAGGCTGGAGTGCAATGGTGCAATCTCAGCTCACCGCAACCTCCACCTTTAGGATTCAAGTGATTCTCCTACCTCAGCCACCTGAGTAGCTGGGATTACAGGCACACACCACCACACCCAGCTAATTTTTGTATTTTTAGTAAAGACAGGGTTGCACCATGTTAGCCAGGCTGGTCTCGAACTCCCGACCTCAGGTGATCTGCCCGCCTCAGCCTCCCAAAGTGCTGGGATTACAGGCATGAGCCACTGCGCCTGGCTTAACATACTATTTCTTACTTACTTGTTTGATTTATTGTCTATATCCTACCCATTCACTTTCCCAAACTAAACTGTCAGCTCCACAAATGCAGAAATTTGTGCTTGTTTTGTCTACACAGGGCATGCTCAACCTATAGACAGTACCCAGTAAATATTTGTTGAATGAAGGGATAAACAAATGATGGTTAAGAATGATGGCTTCAGAGTCAAACTAATTAGAGTTAAATTCAGGCTCTACCACCTAAGGAAGATATTTAAACCTTTTCAGCCTTTGTGTACTCTTCTGCAGAAGGGGGATGATAATGCTGATACTAATACTGAAACTAATAATAACAATAATAAATCTTATAATAATATGAGTGTCAAAATGATGATGCATATGAAAACTTAACAACATTCTGTTATGCAGAGAATTCCCTTGGTAGAGGTGGCTGCTACTAATTGTTTTTCTGATCCACAGAATATCCCAAAATCTCTCAGGACCTGTGAGAATGTTCCTGGAGGTCATGGAGGTTGGAGATCCAGGCTGTACTCACGAACCCCTTCGACCAGAATAGCATCTCTGCTTTGCTAAAATTTTAATTTCATTATTTATTTACTGACAAAAAGTGTGCTATACTTTTTAAAAGTTTGAGATCCATTGTGATCAGCAATTAGAAGAGAAAAAGTCATTTAAGCAAATATTTAACTTCCACTTGTCTAGGACTGATCTCTTGTGCTTTACACTATGTTTCTGCATCTGACTCACAGGTATCGTTGTCTACTACAGCCTGGAGGACAGGAAAGGACTTGAAAAGTTGACTGCATGAAGAAAGAGGAGAAGCAAGGGAATCGAGTTACATTACTTGCCAACTAACTACAATACTTGGAACATAGCAGGTACCCAGGAAACATTAGTTCCTACCTTTTTCTTTGTGGATGCAGAAGACAGACAACAAAGCCACATCCAAAAGAGCAGCAAACTTATTCCAAGTCCCAGTGCTGATGATGTGAGGATTGCCTGTCATTTGGATCATGAATATCATAGCTCCCATGCAGAGTAGGAGCTTAAAAAAGATGGTGATATTGGCCAGATGCAGTGACTCATGCCTGTAATCCCAGCACTTTGGGAGGCCAAAGTGGGCAGATCACCTGAGGTCAGGAGTTCGAGACCAGCCTAGCCAACATGGTGAAACCACCCCCGCCCCCACCCCACTAAAAATACAAAAATTGGTTGGACGTGGTGGCGGGCGCCTGTCATCCCAGCTGCTTGGGCGGCTGAGGCAGGAGAAATGCTTGAACCTGGAAGGCGGAGGTTGCAGAGAGCCGAGATCACGCCATTGCACTCCAGCATGGGCGACAGAGTGAGACTCCATCTCAAAGAAAAAAAAAAAAAGATAGTGATATCTTGAAAAGATTTCAGGAACTTCAGCTTGGTCTTTATTTCCTTTTATTTTTTCTGCATTCACTACCAGAGAAGTGGCTGCCCATTTACAGCCTTAGCGCCAGAGCCAGCTCAGCCACTGTCCCAGGAAGAGCCCACCTGTTAGCATTGTTGACCAGCATCAGACAGTTCATTCACCTAAAAGACAACACCTGGGATTCCCTCCTAAATAAGTGCTGCATCAAAAGAACAAATCCTGAGTATAAACATACTTGCTGTAAAAAGCCCCTCTCTTGGAATCACCAGCCACGGCCATCTGTGTGTAAATTTTATAATGACCTGAGTGGCAAAGGAATGATGCACATGAAAAGTTCACAACATTCTGTTGTGCAGAGGATTCTCTTGGTAGCGGTGGGAATGTGTGGCTGTGCTCCGCTACCTTGGAAAGGATGTCTGTCTGCCGGCTTCCAGGGCTGAACTCTCCCCCTGCTGGCCTGCCATACTTTGAGATTCTAGTGAAAGACCTCCCTTGGCCAACAAAAGATGGGGAGGGAGGGATTGGTACAGGGCTGGCACACTAAGACAGGAAGCAGGACTCAGAATGACCTGGGGAACCGTGACCCTGGGCTTTAGGAAATGGGTCCTGTAACCGACAAATAATGGGATTCAGGAAATAACTGAAGAGTTTTTCCCACCTTGGGGCCTAACTCAGAATTGGCTTGACGAGAGAGAGGCACTAAGAGTCTACAAATGAGGGTACCGCGGAGAGGAAAGGGATGGGAGAGAGGGTCATATGGAGAGAAGCCACCAGGTTCCTCTAGGACAAGGTATGGTCAGAAGTGACAAGGCAGAACCTGAGTCCTGACACTCAAATCATGGCTTTGTCTTCGTCGAGGCAAACGTGAATCTCTGAGCCCCCAATCTAGCTTGATTCGAACTTTGACTTCACCCTCAGCGCTCACTTTAAACACTGCTCAGCCCATCTGTTTCCACTGACCCCCCTCAATCAACACCAACATGATCTTCACACTTAGTCCTGAAGCCTCTGGAAATAGTGCTTGCCTGGGCTGGGCTCACTGGCAAAGCTCCCGGTCCTGTGACCCCTGCTGGCAGCCTGCCTGCCTTCCCCTGGACTTCATCCTGCCTCCCTCACCCTGCCCACCTCAACATGAATTTATTTACTCAGGTCAGTGGCTCATACATTGTGTTAGTGCTTCCGCCATTGTTGTACTAGAGATACAAGCCATGAATATGCCTCTGTCCCGACGTTCCAGAAATTTTAGCCTAATGAAATGTTTTTAAAAGCCTTTTAGAATCCCAATTCACAATAATAAATAATTCTGCACTATGACTCCATGCACACACACAAATTTATATGTATTTATGTGTGTAAAAATAAAACAATGATTTCCCAAAACAATCAAGAAGCCATAAAATGAATTGATATCTTCCACTCTATTTTACGCATTTTTTTAATGCTAATCACAACCCTCTAAGTTGATGTCGTGATTTGCGGTCTAATAATCCCTGGGTTAGTGGAGGAGACAGAAAAGAAAACAGGTTACTACAATGTAATCTGGAGGAGTTATTAAAAGGTCACAGCCAGTGTACCACGAGAGCACAAAGGAAAAACCACCGGACCTGGCGGAAGGTAGATGATAGTAATGGGCTTACAGCCGTCTCACTGCAGAGCCTGTGCTCTGAACCACTGTGCTCCACCACCTCCCAGGGCCCCAGGAAAGTGACAGCAGGTGTGGTTTCTACACTGCTATGGGAGGACAGGTGTTGGAGCATTAAAGAGAAGGACGGAAAGAGTAGTAAGAAGTGTCCCAGGCTCGGGGGCCAGCATGTGGACCACCAAGAGACCAGAAAGTGGATCCTTGCTGGGAAACAGACAGGTGGTGATACGGTTTGGCTATGTCCCCAACCAAATCTCATCTCGAATTGTAGCTCCCATAATTCCTACACATTGTGGGAGGGACCTAGTGGGAGATAATTGAATCATGGGGGCAGTTTACTCAATATTGTTCTCGTGGTAGTGAAGAAGTCTCAGGAGATCTGATGGTTTTATAAGGGGTTTTCCTTCTCATTTGGCTCTCATTCTCTTGTCTGCCACCATGTAAGATGTGCCTTCTGCCTTCTGCCTTCTGCCAGGACTGTGAGGCCTCCTCGGCCACGTGGAACTATAAGTCCATTAAACCTCTTTTTCTTTATAAATTACCCAGTCTCAGGCCAGTCACGGTGGCTCATGCCTGTAATCCCAGCACTTTGGGAGGCCAAGGTGGGTGGATCACCCGAGGTCAGGAATTCGAGACCAGCCTGGCCAACATGGTGAAACCCCATCTCTATTAAAAATACACAAATTAGCCAAGCGTGGTGGCACACACCTGTAATCCCAGCTACTCAGGAGGCTGAGGCAGAAGAATCACTTGAACCCAGGAGGCAGAGGTTGCAGTGAGCCGAGATTGCACCACTGAACTTCAGCCTGGGTGACAGAGTGAGACTCTGTCTAGAAAGAAAAAAAAAAAAAAGAAAAGAAAAAGAAAAAGATGAGAAGCAACAAATATTTGTCAGATTTTTCTTCTCCAGTCTTCAACCTTCTACTCTACTTTCAGGCTTCTGGAATTGAATGGGTTTCAGACTAGATGTCCTCTTACAGTCCACCTGAGAAAGCGGAGGGCAGATGGAAACTGCAAGGTCACCTGGCTGGACAAGGGCAAGGAGGCCTCAACTAGCGGCACTTTCAGTATCTACACGTGTCCCTCTTCCTTTGTGCTGTTTTATACGGTAGTCACTAGATCCTTGTGGCCATTTAGATTTAAACTTCAGTTAACATAAATTAAATTTTTTAGAACTTCAATTCTTCAGTCAGACTAGCCACATCTCAAGAGCTCAGTAGCCACATTTGGCTAGTGGTTACCGTAGGGGACGTTTCGCTCCTCCCAGAACATTCTACCAGAGAGTGTTGCTTTGGATGGCCTCAAGCAGTCAGATGTTAAACCACACATCCCATCTCTCTACTTGTATATTCGGAGACAAATCAGCAAGTACAGAACCGTCCTTAGACAGCAGCCTGCCCTCTGCTTTACTCCAAATTGTTTTTAGTGATTTCGGGAAATCTTTTGTTTGAATCCAGGCCAGAAGGAGGGCTCTACCAAGGCTTGCTCATTTTTTCTTTTTCTCTCTCTTTTCTTGTCTCTCTCTCTGACACATGCACACACACACACACACACACACACACAGTCAGACACATACACTCACAAACACAAGACTCTTTTCTTTTTACTTGAAAATTTACTCCAGAAAATATACATGCACATAGACACACACACACACACACACACACACACACTCAGTTATAACCCTGGTGATACCTGTGATACCTGGTAGAATCTGAACCTCTCTTTCCTTCCCCAACAATTAGTAAAAATAGAATCACAAAAATTCAGGGCAACTTTGATCAAACTGGATCTTCAGAGAATTACTAATAGGAACACTTATCATCAGGCAGATACATTGCACAGGAGAATTATCACACCAGGAGCCGAATGGAGCAGAATGCTGCTTCTAATGATGCCTTACGTGGCTCTAGTTATAAGCATTGCCCTAAAGTTTGCTCAGAGAACAGCCTGACTTCAGCCAGCGGGGAAGGCCCATGAGCATCTGAAAGGCCTTCCTAAAACAGGCTGCATCCCACAAACTCATGGGACCCCCAGCACGGGCCCTGCCCCTGCCCCCTGCCCCGGCCTTGGCTCCTCATCCACACCTAGAGATGCTGACCTGGGGGGTTTGTTCACTGGACTCCACTTATTGTCCTCATTTTACAACAAGGAAGTTATAGAAGAGGAATCGGTTGTTAAAAGTTGCATGTTAGGTGACGGCAAGGCAGGCCCAGAACCTGAGTCCCCAGATACCTAGCATAGGGCTTTTCCCAGTGGATATCACAGGATTCCATTCTTTGGTAAGATTCTGCAAAACTATTAATTTTGAAGGAACTATTTCTTTGCTTCAGGGTCAAAAGAGAATGAGCAAAGTGCCACTGGAAGGATACACATGTGGTCACAACTAAACCACGACCACTACTGTGTCATTGCACTGAAAAAAATATTTTAAAACTGGACCTATAAAAGGTGAGTTACCATGTTTTACAGACGCTCTGGTAAATGGCTGTGTACATGGAGATTAAGGCCATTCTTTCCTTGGTGACCATGGAGTGGAATTGAGAGAGGGTTTTCCATTCATACAGATCTGGATTCAGGTCCAAGCTTGTACATTTTTTTAGCTAGGGGCCTTTGGGCAAAACTAATTCTAGCAAAATGTGGGGATGGTGTAAAAGTGCCTATGGGCAAATTTATATTAAATAATGTATGTCCAGAAAGTGAGCAGATGAGATTAGTTCTGTCTTCCACTTTGACAAACACCTATTCATCACTGGTATCTCCAGTGAGTGATCAAATATGAAAGCATGTCTATTCTGCATATAAAAGCTACACAAAAGCATCGCTAATCTGCCAGAAGCAGTGCTATTATAAGCAATACATAAAAATGTCCACTGATATCTCTCTCTCTTGTTCTCTCATTCCTTCCGCATGACCATTGTGCCTTTGTCAGATGTGTCACCTTGCAGAGAGCACAATTTATCCTACATTAGCCTTGTGGTGCTTACAATAATTAGAAGCACCCAATGTGTCAAATAGGTTGCAAGAGGATAAAATGTTCACAACCTGAATGTTGTAACTGCAGTTCCAACCTACTTTTACAACAGAATCTCCCGAGCATTTTTCACCTAAGTCATGCCATGAAATTGTATTCTGCTACTGAGCACTGTTTGGTTTCCAGGCAGCAGAGCTTTGTGCTTTTGTCTTCGTCCAGAGAGGATGCCACGCTGATGCACACACAACAGTAAGTGAGCTTTGCCTCTCCAGAGCGTTTCATGTGCGCAAAGCCCTTTACAGGCATGTCCGTAACTTCTTTTCTTGTAGAAAATATCAGGGCCATCTAATAAGGTTGTACAAATTGCCAGCCGATGGCCCCTGGTGCTTTGTGATCTTCTGCAAAACAAAGACCCCACCTTTGCCACTTAATAACAACACTGCGTTGCAGTGTCTCCTATTGTGAATAAAATAAGATCTTCTGACCTTAAAAGGCAAGACATTAAGAAGAACAATCATTTTGGGTTTTTTTTTTCCAATATGCATTTAAAGTGGCAGTTATCACACTATCTATTTTCACTGCGGATCGAGTTTTCTAGTTTCTCATTGAAGCCTTCTTACTCTGCTCAAATATTTCCATTTATTGTGCAGGCTTTTATTTCCAAAGCAGATAGAGTTTTCTGTCATTTCTGAGACATGAAAAGGATTTTTGCTTTTTTCCTTTGCAGTTGCTGTTTGAAGTAAAGGAATAAAATCACTGCATTATTTAGCATTTGGATGGATACACATCAAGCCAAAGAACAGCCCCGTGCCTGTGGCTTCAGCCTGCTCCTGCCAAACAAGTGAGGGCAGTCAAAGCTTCCCTTCTTCCTTCTCTGTCCCCCAGCACCAGAACTAACTGCAGCAACGCCTTCACCCATGTCTTCCTGAGACTTCTACATTCTGGACTTCTTTCAATATGGAAAATTAAATCCACGAAAGCTCAAGCACTTAACTGCATCTTCTCAGAACTTTTGAGCTCATTGCTGATGTCGGCATGAGAGCAGATCAAATATTCCCCACTCATTAAAGTCTTCAGGAAGCCTTGAATGCTGCTGAAGACGTCATGTTTTAATACAACAATCTATAGGCTTCTATGTGCCCACTGTTTATGATTTGCAAAGACATAAATCTAAAGCGACTTCCATTTCAGTATGGCCTGAGGTTTTCCCCGGACTTCGCAGAATTTAAATCCCTGCGTTGAAGGAATAAAATCAATCACATAAGTTTTAACAGTGCTGACTTTCCCTGTCGAAATGTAAGGCGCTCATTGTTCTGCAGAGACAGTGTGGACAGACGGTCAGAGAAACCAAGCTTCTCAAGGGCAAGAAGAGCTACCTCAAGTGCTTGCCTGGTCCACAAAGAACTTGATGATCAAACAAGGTCATCAAGAACCTCAGTATATGAGCTCCATGACGGCAGAACTGCTGCAGGGCGGAGTCCAGTGGAGGGGGAATTGGGGTGCTGGGGCAGAAGAAGCCTCTGCCCATTATGCCTCTACCTTGAGCAAAAATGAATCTTTCAGGTGCTCCATAAGAAATCAATCACTACACTGATCAGAAACCATCGTGGCATGGAATTTTCAATCATTCCTTCCTGTAATTCTTCTTTTAAGTGTAAGAACTCTTTTTGCAAACGATTTTATGTGGCTTCTTTTGCAGAGCTTACTCCATGATCTAGCCCTGGCAGAGTCTCCAACAGTCTCTGGTTTGCTCTTCCAGAGTCAGTCTTCAGTCCAGCGTCAGTTTTTCTGAAGGAATCACAGGATAGGACCAGAAGGCACTGTGGGAGAAAGGAATTTCTGAACTGTGTTTTCCATGGGAGAGCCAGAGGAAGACAAGTTAAGGTCTAGAAACCTGCAGTCTCCACAGCTCAGAGAAGGAGAGAAGCGTGGCTGTATCTGGGCAGGTCAGGGGCATCAGGCGCATGTGACTAGAGGAGGTAGTAAAGGAGGAGGTGTGGCTGGGTGCAGTGGCTCACGCCTGTAACTCTAGCACTTTGGGATGCCAAGGCGGGTGGATCACCTGAGGTCAAAAGTTTGAGACCAGCCTGGCCAACATGGTGAAACCCCATCTCTACCAAAAACACAAAAATAAGCCAGGCATGGTGACACACACATGTAATCCCAGCTTCTTGGGAGGCTGAGGCAGGAGAATCACTTGAACACAGGAGGCAGAGATTGCAGTGAGTCGAGATCATGCCACTGCACTGCAGCCTGGACAACAGAGTGAGACTCTGTCTCAAACAAACAAACAAACGGAGGAGGGGGAATGGACACGTTATGTGTTGTTCTCATTTATGGCTGCCAGATTTAGCAGAAGGAGGAGGAGGAGGAATAGGGAAAAGAAAAAACAAAGGACATCATGGGACACACCCGTACTAGAAAATTATTCATTGTCTGAAATCCAAATTCAGCTGGGCATCCTATATTTTGCCTGACCACCCTATTACCGACTCCTCCCTCTCTTGGCCTTCCCACCGGTACAGCTCCACCATTATTCATTTCATAAATCGTGGTCTACATAAAATTGTTTTAAAACAAGCTTCTGGTGCTTTAGAAAGTAAAAAGGATGGAATAGTTAAAAATTACTACTACACCACAGCTAGTAGATTTTATCACTGCAAGAAGGACAAGAGGGTGTGCACGTGCTGTAACTTCATGATAAGCAATTTTAAAATTTATTTGATTATCATTGGATGCATTCCAAGGGAAGCGGCATGTGGTCGATGGAATTTTTCACTCCAATTCTTTGCCCTTTCTACTATCCATACATTTTGTCCTGTGGCTTTTGCAGTTCCTCCCACTATAGGCAGAATTTGGCTAATCTTTGGGTTTAGCCACATGTCTGCTTTGGCCAGTGGGGTATGATATAATGCACTGGCATGATTAGGCTTGTCCTCTTGCACCCTGACATTAACGTGAGAAGAACATGCCTTGCAGAGTTGCCTACTTGACTCAGAAAAATAAGATGCTTGAAACAGATCTAAATTGAACTCAAGGCCTGCAGCCAAATCTAGCTGAGCCCAGACAAGCTGACTCATATATACACAAGCCAGAAATAAATGCTTTCATTGTATGGTCCAGACTTTGGGGGTGGTTTGTTATGCAGCATTACTGTGGTAAACACTGACTGATACACACCACCTCATCACTCTCAGGGTATCTATCTAGGCTGCCAGTTCCTTCACGAGCCCACATTCACACTAGCATGCATGACACAGACTTTTCCATTTAGGAAGGATATTTTTAGCAAAAAGTTTAGCAACAATGAATTCTCAGAATTTCCCAAGATTCATAGAGAAGGCACCCACTAAATGAAAATTACCATCCAGATTGCTAATGAGATTATCACTAATCTTCCTCAATTTAAAAACTAAATGTTCTTTCCAGGATTTTTAAAAAGCATTTCAAAGATGGAAATGAGGAACTAGCCACCATGAGAAATTATAAAATTGAACAGCTGTGCAGGCAACTCATTTATTAGAGTCAACATTTAACCAGGCAGGAGCTGGTGATTGTTATTTCCCCTTCAATGTATTCAGGATGTATGTTTCATTAAACTTGATATTTACAGGAAAAATCCAGTATGTAACAGATGGGAAACTTGGAGAAAATTTTTTTTTTTATTTTAGTCAGTGGTGTTCTCCAGAGATGCCTGCCACTACACCTCCTCCTTCAAGCCCCTTCCTTGAAAAATGTGTCAAAACCCTAATTTCTATGTTGTTTGCCTCCTACAACACCTTTCAATGCATTAAAGCCCAATATTTGTACTCATATTTCCAAGCACTATTAGAAGGATTGGAATTCTTCAAAATTCACACAGTAAACTGCATTATGTGATTGACCCACATATAGAAACCAAAATAAACTCTTCAATGGGACCTTTGTGCTAGAGATTACATCAGGAACTACAATCAAATGGCCACAGCAAATGAGACAACTTGGTATTTTTTTTTAACAGGAACCGTAAAAATTACTCACTGAGAAAGAACATCAAGTTAAATCAAGCAAAAACACAGTGCGGTTCCAAAAATACAATGGCGTTTTCAGGAATTAGTGTACAGGAGCTTAACGTCTTGCTAACACACGATAACACTCAGCTTCAGCTACAGTGTCAAGCTAGGGATGGTAGGTTATTGAATTAGGACACTGCTTGTCAAATAGTTTTACCAAAAATATATTTTCAAGCCAAGAGGAAATGACCTTAACAGGTCTAGAGTCAGTTTAGACTAAAATGGCTTACTGCAATTTAAGTGTTCTGTCTTCAAAATTCACAATTTTTGCACTCTATTTCATAATATATCCATGTTGCTTCACACGATAATAGTATTTTCAATTACCAGTAGGGAAAACAAGCAAGTTTCCTCAAGGCTCATTGGTTAGTAGCAAAACATTGTGAGATACTGGATCAATCGAACTTGGGCAATGGGGCTGCATTCAAGAGCCCGACGTCTGCATAACGGTAAAAATACCTCTGACTTGAGGTCAAAAGGTTTTGAGAATTTGGCACAAGTCACAGCAGTTTCTTCACTCCTTTAAAAGCCCCTTAGAATGAAGACTTAATAACAGGTTGGGTCTGATAGGCTGTGAGCATTCATTCCTTCACCCACTCTCCTTGACACCCCCAGAGTTCAACCTAGGGAGAGTACCCTTGCAATGCACAGCTCATTGGGACTTTAAAGATGAAGTTCTGGCCGGGCGCGGTGGCTCATGCCTATAATCCCAGCACTTTGGGAGGCCGAGGTGGCGGATCACCTGAGGTTGGGAGTTCAAGACCAGCCTGACCAACATGAAGAAACCCCGTCCCTACTAAAAATACAAAATTAGCTGGGTGTGGTGGCGCGTGCCTGTAATCCCAGCTACTCTTGGAGGTTGAGGCAGGAGAATTGCTTGAACCTGGGAGGCAGAGGTTGCGGTGAGCCGAGATCACACCATTGCACTTCAGCCTGGGCAACAAGAGCAAAACTCTGTCTCAAAAAGAAAAAGAAAAGAAAGATGAAGCTCTGACTTGAAGAGTTGCATGATGAGGTGAGAGTAAATAGGGGTGATAACTGGGTTTTGGTGCATGTGGCTTTCACCCCTAGAGATTCCTCTCCTTAAACTAACCTGAGATAGCACAAACTTACACATTAGGGCTAATCCTGAGTTCTTTCCTGGCATTACATCTAGCAAAATATGCATATGGGGAATAGGATGAAGACTTCAAAAAATAAAAAGTAAAATGAATCCATAAAAATTCCCAATTAAAAGTCTAGACAATTTCTTCAAACCAAGGGGAAGGAGGGACACCAAGGGACATGAGAGCATGCCAATATTTAAAAGGTTAAAGCTACAGAGACCAATTTTTTTCCCTCATGATTTTTTGAGATATAGTTAACATACCATAGAAGTCACTTCATGAAAGTGTATAATTCAGTAGTGTTTAGCATATTCAGAAATTTTACAACAATCACCACGATCTAATTCCAGAACGTTTTCATCATCCCCAAAACCTGTATCATCAGCAGCCACTCCCTGTTTTCCCCTCTCCAAGTCCCTGACAACCACTAATCTACTTTCTGTTTAGGAGTTTCCCATTCTGGACATTTTACATGAATAGAATCATACAGTATGTGGCCTTTTGTGTCTGGCTTCTTTCACTTAGCCTTACGTTTTCAAGGTTCATTCGTCTTACAGCATATATTAGTACCACATTCCTTTTTATAGCTGAGTAATATTCCACTGTATAGACCTACTACATTTTGTTTGCCATTCATCTGTTGATGAAAATTTGGGTTGTCCCCACTTTTTGACTATTATGAATAATGATGCTTTGAATGTCGGTGTACAGGTTTTTGTGTGGAGATGTTTTCAATTCTCTTGGCTATATACCTAGGAATGAAATTGCTGGGTCATTTGGTAACTGTAACTTTTTGAGGACCTGCCAAACTGTTTTCTACAGTGGCTGAATCATTTTACACTCCCACCAACAACGTATAAAGGTTCCAATTTCTTTACATCCTCACCAACACTTCTCATTGTCAGACTTTTTAAATTTCAGCCATCATAGTGAGTGTGAGGTGAAACTCATTGGGGTTTTGATCTGCATCTCTCTAATGACTAATGATATCGAACATTTTTTATGTGCTAATCAGCTATTTTTATGCCTTCGTTGGAGAAATATCTATTCAAATCCTTTGCCCATACTTTAATTGGGTTCTTTGTCTTTTTATCTATGAGTTGTAAGAGTTTTTATATAAACTGTATACTAAACTCCTGTCAGATATATGATTTTCAAATATTTTCTCCCATTCTGTAGAAAATCTTTTCAATTTCTCAATAGTATCTTTGGAAGTACAAAAAGTACTTAATTTTGATGTTCAATTTAACTATTTTTTTCTCTGTTTGCTTGTACAATTCATGTCATATTCAAGAAACTGTTGCCCAATCCAAGGTCACAAATATTTACACATTTTTTTCTTCTAATGTTTTTATAGTTTTAGCTCTTATATTTAGTTTTTGATCTGATATAAGTCAGCTTTCTATATGGTGTTAATACACTCATTCTTTAAATGTGGTGATCCAATTGCCCCAACACCATTTGTTGAAAAAACTATTGCTTCCCCAATTGTCTTGGTGTGTTTGTTGATAATTAATTATCCATAGATAAATAGGTTTATTCCTGAATTCTAAATTCTACTGCATTGATCTATATGTCTATCTTTATACCAGATAATCAAATAGCCTTAATTACTGTAGCTTTGTATTACGTTATGATATCAGGAAGTGTGAGTTTTCCAACTTTGTTTTTCTTCTCCAATATTGTTTTGGCTTCTTTTCCAAGAGATTGCTGGATTCTTTACATTTTCATGTGATTTTTAGGATCAGCTTGTCAATTTCTGCAAAAAAAAAAAAAAGACAGCTAAGATTTTGATAGGAATTATGTTCAATCTATATTTCAATTTGAGGAACTTTCCATTTTTCATAATATTAAGTCTTTCAATCCATAAACATGAGATGTCTTTCCATTTGTTTAGGTCTTCTTTAACTTCTTTTCTTCATGTTTTGTATCTAGTGTTTAAATATTTCTATTTTTTGCTAAATTTATTCCTGTGTATTTTATTATTTTGATACTATTATACAAGGAATTATTTTCTAATTTCATTTTTTGATTATTTATTTCTAGTATATACAAATAGAATTGACTTTTATATATTAAACTTGAATCCCTGCAACTTTGCTGAACTTATATGAATAGTTTTTAGTGGATTCTTTAGGATTTTCTATATACGAGATCATGTCTTCTGCAAATACAGATTTACTTATTTCTTTCCAATTTTGAAGTCTTTTATTTCATTTTATTGCCAAAATGTGCTTGTTAGAACCTCTGTTAAGATGTGCACTAGAAGTGGCAATAATAAACATCCTTGTCTTATTCTTGATATTACAGGGAAAGTGGTCAGTTCTTCACCATTAAGTATGTTAGCAGCGAGTTCTTCACAGATACCCGCTATCAGGCAAGAAAGTTCCCTTCTATTCCTACTATTTTGAGAATTTTGATGTGAAAATGTATTGGACTTTGTCCCGTGCTTTTTCTGTGCCTATTGAGATGAGCATGTGGCTTTTGCCCTTTCTGCTATTAATATGATATATTACAGGGATTGATTTTCAGATGTTGAAACAGCCTTGCATTGCTAGGATAAATTCCACTTGGTCATGGTGCATAATCAATTTTTTATATTGTTGGATTTAGTTTGTAAGTATTTTGTTGAGGATTTTTCATCTATGTACATAATGAATATTGGTCTCTTTCTTTTCTTGCGATGTCTTTGGTTTTGCTATCAAGGTAATACTGGTCTCGTAGAATGATTTGGGATGTGTTCCTACCTCTCCTATTTTCTGGAAAAGTAGAAATCAATTTTTAAAAAGAAGATGGAGGTGATGTGTTTTCTGTATTTTTTTTTCTGCTAAGTACAACTAGAATTTTACAGCCAAAAAACCCAGAAGTTTCTGAGACAGTGAGGGATATCAGTACCAAAAGAACGGCAGAGTGGTGAGGAGTCCCTGGGTATCCTTTTTGCCTTACATAGCCCATATTTGGAGCTGAAAAGGCTGGAAACCTGAAAATGCCAATGGACACAGAAAAAATAGCCTCAACAAAAGCTTGTGCTCTTTTAAAAGCAGGAAAGGTGCAATATAGCAAGCCAAAAACCCTAGAGAGGATAACTGCTCTATTTCAGCTGAAACCACAGGAACAACTGGCCCTCTCCCTACCCATTCCAGCAAAGCTTGGGTGGGCAGCCTAGACTTCCACTCTTTTGAGGCTGTAAATAGACTCTCCAGTTCTCCCTCCAGGTGGTGTCAGAGGAGGCCCAGTATGCAGCCAAGACTTTCATCCTCTCCAGCTGGTAACAAAATCCCCCCTTATGGTGTCAGTGGAGACTGTGAGGAGCCTGGATTACCACCTAAGAGTCATGAGGTGATACCAGCCCCCACCTCCACTGGAGTGGTGTCAGAGAGGACCTAGTGGGAGGGTGGAACAACCATCCCACCCTACAGAAACACTGAACACCACCCTTAGTGAATCAATGAAGCCTGAATGGGAATTGAACTTTTACCTGCATCTGTAGTCCCAAAGAAGTGCCCCTCCTTTCCTGGCCCCACCTAAAACAGAAAGCTTAAATAATATTTAGTTTTATAATACCCAAATATCCAGGTTTCAATGGAAAATCATTTATCACATCAAGGACCAGGAAGATCTCAACTAAATCTCAAAAGACCATCAATAGATGCCAACACCAAGATGACAGAAATGTGAGAATGATCTGACAAGGATTTTAAAGCCATCATCATACAACTGCTTCAACCAGTGATTACAAGAATGCAACAAGCAAATGAAATATAAGATATAAACAAGAACCCATGGATATTTTAAAATTTAAAAATACAATAGCTAAAACACAAGACCCAATGGATGAATTCAACAGCAGAATGGAGGGAAGAAAGGAAACAGTCAGTGAACTTGAAGACAGAACAATAGATACTATTCAATCTGAACAAAAGAATGAAAATAGACTGAAAAAAAATGAATAGAGGCTGGGCATGGTGGCTCATGCCTGTAATCCCAGCACTTTGGGAGGCCAAGGTGGGCAGATCACCTGAGGTCAGGAGTTCAAGACCAGCCTGACCAACATGGAGAAAACTCATCTCTACTAAAAATACAAAATTAGCCGGGCATGGTAGTGCATGCCTGTAATCCCAGCTACTTAGGAGGCTGAGGCAGAGAATCACTTGAACCCAAGAGGCAGAGGTTGTGGTGAGCCAAGATCGTGCCACTGCACTCCAGCCTGGGCAACAGAGTGAGACTCCATCTCAAAAAAAAAAAAAAAGAATAGAGCCCAAGTGACCTGTGGGACTACAGCAAAAGATCTGACATTTGTGTCAGCAGTGTCCAGCAAAGAGAGGAGATGGGGAGCAGGGCTGGAAAAGTGCTCTAAAAATAATGAAGAAATACTTCTCAAATGTGGCAAAAAAAATCACATTCCAGCAAAATATGTTATAGGTATAGTGATATTATTCTAAAGCATATATTGAAAGGTTAAGGGAACTAAAATAGCTAAGACAATTTTGAAAAACAAGAAGAAAGTGAGAATAAATAGTGTACCCAATTTCAAGTCTTATTAGATAGCTACATTAATTCAGGGTGTGGCGTTGGCAGAGGAATGGACACTTGTGTCAATGGAACTAAATACAAAACCCAGAAATAAAGTCTTTCAATGGAAGGGAAGACAACCTTTTCAACAAACAGTGCTGGAGCATATGGACATTCATAAGTAAAGAAAATGAACCTTAATCTAAACATCACAACTCATACAAAAAGTAACTCAAAATAGATGATGGACTGTAAAATGTAAAACTCTAAGACTTTTAGAAAAAATTCTATATGAGAAAGTATTCAGGATGTAAGGCTAGGCAAGGCATTCTTAGACTTGATATCAAAGAGCATGACCCCAAAAAAGAAAAAAATTGATAAATTATACTCCAGCAAAACTTTTGCTACACTAAAGATCTTGTTAAAAAGATAAAAAAGACAACTACACAAGGGAAGAAAACATTTCCAAATCACGTATCCAACAAAGGACTAATGTTGAGAATATCAAAAGAACTGTCAAACTGCTAGTAAAAACACAGACAATCCTAACAGGAAATGAGCAAAAGACATGAACAGACATTTTGCTGATAAGACTAAACAGATGGTAAATAAACATATAACAACACATTTAACATCAGTAACCATTAGGAAAATCAAACTAAAATTCCCATGAGATACTGCTACACACCTATCACAATAGATAAAATAAATAAAATGTTAATTTTATTTACATATTATAAATAAAATGTTAATTTTATTTACATATTATAAATAAAATGTTAATTTTATTTACATATTATAAATAAAATGTTAATTTTATTTACATATTATAAATAAAATATTACCAACATATTATCAATAAAATTTGCTATATATTATTTAGTAAAATAAATATTTACAATATGCAAAATTTACAGCCAAAAATGCTGTCAAGGATGTGGAGAAACTACATATCATTCATTCATTGCTCACAGGAGTACAAAATGTTAGTCACTCTAGAAAACATTTGAGCAGTTGCTTTAAAAACTTAGGCTGGGCATGGTGGCTCGCACCTGTAATCCCAGCACTTTGGGAGGCTGAGGCAGGCGGATCACCTGAGGTCAGGAGTTCAAGACTAGCCTGACCAACATGGTGAAACCTCATCTCTACAAAAATACAAAAATTAGCTGGACATGATGGTGTGTGGCTGTAATCCCAGCTACTTTGGAGGCGGAGGTGGGAGAATCGCTTGAACCCGGGAGGCAGGGGTTGTAGTGAGCCGAGATCACCCCACTGCACTCCAGCCTGGGCAACAGAGTGAGACACTGTCTCAAAATTTAAAAAATAAAATAAAAAATATAAAAATTTAGAAGGTAACTGCTATATGACCCAGCAATTGCACTCCTGAATATTTATCCCAGACAAATGAAAACTTATGCTCACACAAAAGGCTGAAAACAAATGTTTACCACATCTTTATTCCTAATAGTGAAAAACTGGAGACAATCCAAATGTCTTTCAATGGGTGACTAATTAAACAAACTGTAATACACACAAACTGTGGATACTCCTCAGCAATAAAAAGGAATGAAATATTGATAGATTCAATGATTTGAATGAATGTCCAGAGAATTATAGATAACACTCTCAAAATGACAAAATCAAAACAATGGAATAAAGATTAGTGGTGGCCCGAGGTTAGGGTTGGGGGAAGGAGGTGGGAGAGTGGTAGATGTGGTTATAAAAGGGCAGCCTAAGGGATCCCTTTGGTGAGGGAAATGTTCTGTATTTTGACTGCATCAATGTCAAAATTCTGGTTGTGATATTGTAGCATAGTTTTACAAGATGTTATCATTGAGGGAAACTGGATAAAGAGTATCGGAGACCTCTCTGTTTTATGTCTTACATGTGAATCTTCAATGATCTCAAACAAAAGCCTTAATTTTTTAGAAGAAGGGATACTTTCCAACTCATTTCATTACTTTGATATCAAAACTAGACAGATTTGGGAGGCAGAAGCGGGTGCATCACTTGAGGTCAGGAGTTTGAGACCAGACTGGCCAACATGGTGAAACGCCATCTCTACTAAAAATACAAAAATTAGCCGGCCATGGTGGTGCATACCTGTAGTCCCAGCTACTCGGGAGGCTGAGGTGTGAGAATAGCTTGAACCTGGGAGGCGGAGGTTGCAGTGAGCCAAGATCTCACCACTGCATTCCAGCCTGGGTGACAGAGTGAGACTCTATCTCAGAAAAAACAAAAAAGACAGAGATAGCCTAGAAAAGAAAATCACTGGCATGTTTAACTCACAAATATATATTAATAAACTAAATCCAGTGGTATATAAAGAAGTTGTTACACCCATGAATTGGAACATCATTAAGTGTTAGAAAATCTATACATTGTATTTACCATGTTAAAGTAGAAAAACAAATGAAATGTATAACATACTAGAAATACATTTGACAAGCTTTAACATCAATTAAAGTTTAAAGAAATGTTAGTACTCTAGAAATAAAAAGAAATGCCTGTAATGCAAGAATTGAAGGAATGACATCATCTCTAAGAGTGCAAAAAAAAGAGTCATTCTGGGATACTGGAGTGAAAAAACCTTGCTCTTTCAATATATAAAGCACAGGTGTAGTATATAAAGAGGTAAACTATATTAGTGGCATTAAAATGTCATGGAGGGGGCAACTGGGGGGAAAAGTCTAAGAAGGCTCTTTAGGGGGGCAAAACCCTATGATAAAGTATATACTTAACTGGGAAATTTTAGAGTCTTCTGTTTAAAATTAGAAACAAGAACAAGATGCCCACTATTACATTTCAGTCTAGAATCAGAAGTCCTAACTAGTAAAGTAAGACCAGAAATTAATTTAAAATTTAGAATTAAAAGCTTAAGGATGGGAAGAGAGTAAATAAAGCTTAAATTATTTAATTACTTGCAGACATGATGGTCTACACCAAAAGCCCAAAAGAATTTACAGGCATATTATTAGAAGTAATAGAATGCCTTAGCAAGGTGACTGGATATATGATTAATATAAAAATGCAAAGTTAATTTCATTTTCATGAGCTAGTAACAGTAAACCAGCAAATTACTTTTTAAAAGGGCATCATTCACAATAGCAACAAAAATTACAGAGTACCTAAGAAGATAAAATAATATAAATGGAAGACCCATATGTATACAATCATAAAACTTTATTGAAAAAAAATTTTAACTAAATAGAGAGATACCACATGTTCATGAAAAGAAAGACAAAATATATAAACATATTTTGTTCTTAAAATAATGTATAGAGTCAATGTAACTCCAGTAAAAATTCCACAAGGCTTTTTGTGGGATGAAATATGCCAAATCTCAAATGTATATGGAAGAGCAGAGGTCCAAAATAATCAGGACTGTTTTGTAGGAGAAGAATAAAGAAGCCAAGTTACGGATCTGTCTTGCCAAACATCAGGACTTAATAAGTAGCTATCACTATCTACTATCTACTAATGTTAAACATTAGTAGAAACATTTTCTATTTGACTATAAGACTGTTTCTATAGGACCATTTGACAGTTTCTACTAATGTTACATTAGTAGAAACATTTTCAAAAATGTATGTTTAACATTAGTAGAAACTGTCAAATAGTCTTAGATACAGAAATTCCACTCCTAGGTATGTATCAAAGAGAAATGTGTGCATGTGTCCTTTAATAGGAATGTATGTTATCACTCACTGCAGCCTTTTTATCACACCAGTCCCAAACTGAAAATAGCCAAAATGTCTAGCAACAGGAGAACAAACAAACAAATCGTGGAATATTTGTACAATGAAATACATTACTCAATAAAAGATAATAAGCTACTACTACATGTTGCAACAATGAGTGAGTGAAGGCTGACTTAAAAGGGAATATATTGTATGCTCCCATTTATATGAAATTTAAAAACAGAAAATTTTATCTATGATGAAACATATCTGAATAGTAGTTATATCTGAAAGATGGAATATAAACACAAAAGGGGCTAAAAGAAGCCTTATGAGTTAATAGACATGTTTCATAACTTAATATGAGTGGTGGTTACGAGTGAAAGCATATGTTAAAGTTATTAAACTGTACATTTTAGATTACTGCATCTTGTGCAGCATATGAATGTTACTCCTTGATTAAAATATTTTAAAAGCTATAAAATATAATAAAACTACAGAAATAAACAAATTGACTAATGAAACAAATTAAAAAGTCAGAAACATTACCATGAATGTAGAACTTTGTGTATGTGTATACATAATGTATATTTATATATTATATATGAATATATATCATATATGTATATTTCTCCCATATGTAAGAGAGAAACAATGATCACGTGAAAAACATTTGAATAAAAGAAGCTAGGAAAAAATTGTTAATCATATGGGAGAGAAAAAAATTGAAACATAATATATTTACCAATATTCAGAAGTGGATATTTTCTGATCTTGGAGTACAGAAATACTGGTAAGACAGAACACAAAGTCTACAGGGTTCAGGAAAAGTAAATTATTTAGGAAAAAATAAATCAATAAAAATCTTTAAAATGTAGGAAAAGTAAATTCTGACTCCATTGTCACAAAGTGGGCAATGAAGTATGAATTTGCAACTTAGAGGCAACACATTGATAACTTTGGGAACCTGTGACCAAAAAATATATGAAGAGATGTTCAATCTCATTAGAAATCAGAGAAATAAAAATCGAAACCACAATGAGATGTCAGGTTGCATCCACCAGACTGGCAAAAATTAATGAGTTTCCTTATACAAAGATTTGAAGAGGATGTGGATCAACATGATCCACATTGCTGGTGGGGAGGTAAATTGACACAATCACTTTTGAAAACAGTTAGTCATTGTTTCGTTCAGCTAAACACCTTAATACTCTGCAACCCTAGTTTAACCCAGAAGAAAGTCTTTCACATGAACAGGTGATGTGTATAAGAACATTTATAATAGCCAAATGCCTATACCAAAAAGCACATTGAGAGGAAAATGAATAATAAATCACAGTATGTTCACACAACAAAATGTCATATCATAGTGAAAGTGAGCTACAGCTACCTGAAAGAAATTGAAGATGCTCAGTAACAACATTGAGTGAATAAAGGAAATACTGAGACTACATACAATATAAAAAACGTTTTATAAATTTTACAACCAAAACCAAATGCCGTGCTTTAGGTACGCATATTTGTGAATTTTTTAGATTTTTGCTTTGTTTAAGCAGAGAATCAATACAATTTTGGATGCTGAAGGGGAGGCAGAGTAAGGGGATAGAGAAAAGCTGATTGGTAGCTATTGGTTATTGTTCTAGTTCTTGGGTTGGGCAGTGAGTTCATAGGTGTTCATCACATTATTAAAATATATTTTCTGGGTGAGGCGGGAAGGTTGCTTGAGTCCAGGAGTTGGAGATCATCCTGGGCAACAACACAAGACCTCATCTCCAAACAAAACACAGGCTGGGCACAGTGGCTCACGTCTGTAATCCCAGCACTTTTGGGAGGCCACAGACGGTGGATCACTTGAGGTCAGGAGTTTGAGATCAGCCTGGCCAACATGGTGAGACCCCATCTCTACTAAAAACACAAAAATTATTCAGGTGTGGTAGCGCACACCTGTAATCCCAGCTACTCGGGAGGCTGAGGCGGGAGTATCACTTGAACTCGGCAGGTGGAGGTTGCAGTGAGCTGAGATTGAGCCACTGCACTCCAGCCTGAGTGACTCAAGTGAGTCCGTCTCAAAAAGACAAAAAAAAAAAGGAAATATATAGATGATAGATGTAAATAAAAATACATGTACTTAAATATATATTTATTTAAATAAACAACATAAAAATGGTTTATGGGTAAATTAAAGATGATAATGTGACATGAAGCAGGCTGATGAGTCATCAATATTACACTCCTGATGTCCATTTAGGAAAAATAAATTCTGACGAACACTTTCCTTTGACTAAGCCAGACTACATCTGTGCATTCCAGTCAGCTTTCAAAGACATTTCTGGTTTTCTGACGAATGTGTTTTTTAAAAATGAGAATTTTAAGCAATTTTTAAAGAAAAGTCATAATTTTGTATCCCGGCACCCCCAGTCAAACACATTGAGATAGTGACAAACTTCCTGAGGTGAGGTGTCTTGGTAAGAGATCTGGCGGCTGCTGGTCTTTTCCTGGGTGTGCTCACAGCCTTGGTGTAAGGTATTCCTCTTCTCAGCTTTGCCTTTCCAGATTTAGCTCCATCTGTGCACACGGTCATACTTTTTTTTTTGTTAACTGATACAGTGCCTGCTAAATATCTCATAAATCTTGTTAAGAATGTCTTCACCAGTTATGTTGCCAAAAGTTCCTTTTAAGTTAGCGTCTTCACAGACAACATCATTATAAATATAACCTGAGATGAATAAAACAAGCATATTATTCATGCCCATGCCTCCAGCCATCTGTAATAGAAGGAACCAGGTCAACACCAGTCTCTCAACCAGCTGTTTAAATACGTCTGTTGAGCACGTATAAGTGCATCATATGAAAGGGTTCTTTAACAATTGTCTTCTTTCAGCATAGCAGCCATTTGAGACCCAATACAGATTCAAGATTTCATCCCATGGTCTCCTTTTAATGAGAAGAACCTAAAAGAGAATTGCTGTAACTAACCTTATATGAGGTTGGCTCAATATACTTTTGTAAGTTGTTTATTTAATGGTACTTCTCATTGTATGGTCCTCATGGAGACTCGTCTCTTTTCAGTTTACAAGTATTTTATTCAAAATTAACAGTACTAATTTTTAAATTATGGGTGTTATGCAGCTAGTGATATAGGCTTTCTCATGTGTCTTAGTCTTTCACCAAAATTTAAAACAGCATTTTAAATAAGCATCAAAGTACATCCTCCATTTTGGCATCAACTGCCACCATGATGACTGATTTTGCAGGAGTGATTGAGAGGTGCTCCCATCTGCACTCTCTGGTGAGCCTCAGAGGCCCCTTTGATGACCTCTGATCTGGTCTGATCTTCAGCATTTCCTCTGGGTTCAAGTGAAGGCTTCCAACTCCCTGTTTTTAGCCATAACTTACTGTCCCCATTTGAAAACAGAATTTTGAATGTTATTTCCCTTTTAAAAGGTAAAGAATGACACTAATTTGTGAAGAAGGAAAAAAAAGCAAAATTTGCTGGAAAGAGGACATTATGATATTGGCAAAATCAGTGCAATAAGAAATAGATTGAAGTACAGTTGCAAGCTTGTCAACTAAACAGCTTATTATAGTCAAGGCAAGAGAGTTGGGCTGATTAAAGTTGGCCAATGGCTTTCTGGTCTAATTATATGCTTAAAAAGTCACTTGATTATGTGGTGAAAAGTGCATTCAACAACAACAACAACAAAAAAGCAAAAACCAAACTCTACCTGTGCCAGCCTCCAGTGTCTGTGAATGCTGATACTGCAGTCCCTGTTCTGGCATGCCACACAGCAGCACACACCAGCCAAGCATCATTCATCCTCATACCCCTTTGGTTACCAGGAGGGTTAAGAGCACCAGATTTCCTAAGAATTCAAAACAAACAACATTTCCACTCATTCCTCATGAATTGTCTAACATGTATAAGTTACCATCTTCTCAATTTACTTGCACATGTATGTTTCAAAATATCTTAATGTCATAAGAATTCAAATCTTCATTTCCCCAAATTGTCAGGTAAAATTAATTTTCCAGGACTATATACCACATCTATCCTGGTACTTTTAGTTACGCTTGGGTGAACCAGTATGATATGTGCAAGATTAAAGAATCAGACTTATAGAACCACATATTCTTTCTAAAAAGCACCATGAAAAAAATGAATACAATGGAAATTTCCAAAGAAAAAATATTTTCAAAAGCTCTGTAAATCTGGAAGTTTAGATTTTAAAACAAGTGTAACTCACCTTATACCATGTATTATTTTTATAAATTTTAAATTTAATTTTGATAAATAAAATCAAATTTTGAATGTACTGGAAAGATCACTCTTTAAAACAATTAAATCCTTTGGCAAATCAAATCAATCACACAATACACTCACTACATTAGTTATCTCTTTTGTATAATGATATTACCATAATCCTAGGTGGCTTAGAACAAAACAATTTATCTCATGGTTTCTGTAGATCAGGAATCAGGACACTGCTTAGCTGCATCTCCTGTTGCAGGTCCCACAAGGCTGCAAGGAAGTTGTCACCAGGGCTCTGGTCTCATCAGAGAGTTGGACAGAGGCTGGATCATGTAGCTATGTATCCCTAATATAACATGGCTGAAATTCAATTTCTGCTCTCCTCAAATAAATGGCTCTTTCTGTATCTTCCCCGATATAGTTAATGATGACTCAGTTCTTCCAATCACTCAGGCTAAAAATGTTAGAGTCATCCTTGACTCTTCCCTTCCTCTATTCCCTTCCTCTATACCTTCCATTCAATCTGTCGGAAAACCCTGATGACTCCACTTTCAAAATGTGCCCAGCATCTGAGCATTTCTCTCTACCTCCACTGATACTATCCTGATGGAAGCCATCATCACCTCTCAAGGAGATTACTGCAATAGCTTTCTAATTGATATCTAGACCGTGCCCCTTCAGTCTATTAATGTAGGGCCTGAGAGTGATCCTATTAAACATTAGTCATTTCTGTTCAAAATCTTCTAATAGCTTTCAATCTCACTCAGGTTAAAGCCAAAGCTTTCAACATGGCTGACAATGTCCCACATTTTCTATCTTCCAACCCTCTTCCCTGCTCCATTACCACTCCCACCTTCTGTCCTCCAATCACCTCCCTTGCTCCCACTGTGGGAGATCATGGGCCTCCTGGCTGTGTCTTGACTCAACACAGGCTCATCCCACATGGGGCCCTTTCACTGGATGTGCCTCCCTCTGCGGCTCTCTTCCCCGAGACATTCCCAACGTTCTCCCCTCTTCTCCTTTGAGGCTTTTCCAAGTGTTGCCATCCACCTTCTCAGGAAGGTCTTCCTCCATCAACTTATTTTAAATAGCACCACCATTCTGCCCCTAAAGTCCCTGCTATCTTCCCTGCTTTCTTTCTTTTTAGAGCACATATCACCATTCAATATCCCATATATATTACTTATTAAAAGTTTCTGTAGGCCGGGCATGGTGGCTCATGCCTGTCATCCTGGCACTTCGTAAGTGGAGGCCAAGGCAGGCAGATCACAAGGTTAAGAGTTCAAGACGAGCCTGGCCAACATGGTGAAACCCCGTCTCTACTAAAATACAAAAATTAGCTGAGTGTGGTAATGGGTGCCTGTAATCCCAACTACTCAGGAGGCTGAGGCAGGAGAATCGCTTGAACACACAAGGTGGAGGTTGCATTGAGCCGAGATCGTGCCATTACACTCCAGCCTGGGTGATGAGCTAAACTCCACCTCAAAAAAAAAAAAAAAAAGTTTTTATAAATTATTTGTCTTCCATATTAGAGCCACATAAGGGAAAGATTTTAATTTTGTTCAGTAATGTTTACTCAACATCTAAAACTATAGCTGGCCCATATTAGCTACTCAGTAGATTTTATTGAATGATGAGTAAACAGAGAGCCCTATAGAACATAGTAGGATGTTTGCTAAACTAGTTAAATAGTTTAACTATTTAACTAGTTTAAACAGAAAGCCAAAGTAGAATTTTAACTAGGTAGGAAAATGATAGTATTGTATTTATGCTTTAAACAAGGTTACTGTGGTTGTTTTGTGGAGAATGGTTTGAAGTGGTCAAGGCTCAGAGTGAGTAAACAGGTCTATTTTAGTAGTCCAGATAAGAGATGGTAGTGACTTCACCTAGGACTGTAGCAATATGGATGGTGAGAAGTTGTTGGATTTAGGATGAATGTTTAATGCTGACCAAAGGTACTGATAGTTTAGATATTGGATATAAAAAAAAGAATGAAATCAAAGATGACTCCTCAATTTATGACAAGAGATTAATGGGGAGAAATCTGTAACATGGGAGGGAAACCAGAAAACTGAGAAGCCCAAAGAAGGAAGTATTTTAAGGAAGATGAGAGTGATCAACTGTATCAGCCACGTCAATGAGATGCACAGTAAGGAAAAGAACAGAGATTTGGCCTTGCAGTCTGTTAAGATGGAACTAACTGGAGACCTTTGTCAATGATGTTTCAAGGATAGAGTGGTTGGAGTCAACAGTTCTATTAGAGTGGCATGAGACAGGAATATAAAAAGTGAGACAGCAGTTGAGTCAAATCTCACAAAAAGTTTTTCTATAAGATAAGCAGAAAAAATGGGGTAGTGAGTGGGTAAAACATATGAGACCAAAGAAATTTTGTTTGCTTATTTGTTTGAGGCAGAGTCTCTCTCTGTTGCCCAGGCTGGAGTGCAGTGGCACGATCTTGGCTCACTGCAACCTTCACCTCCCTGGTTCAAGCGATTCTCCTGCCTCAGCCTCCTGAGTAGCTGGAATTACAGGCAAGTGCCAACAAGCCCGGCTAGTGTTTTTGAATTTTTAGTAGAAACGGGGTTTCACCATGTTGGCCAGGCTGGTCTCGAACTCCTGACCTCAGGTGATCCACCCACCTCGGCTTCCCAAAGTGCTGGGATTACAGGCATGAGCCATTGTGCCTGGCCCAAAGAAGTATTTTTTAATGGAAGATATGAAGACATGTCTATCTGATGGCAGAATCAGGAAAAGAGAAAAAACTGATGATACAGGAGGGAAACTAAGGGAAATTGTAGAGATAAAATTATTGAAGATGGGAGGGTAAATAGGATCCAAAGTAAAAGAGCAGGTGCTGGCTTTCCATAGAAGCAGAATGCAGCTCCCAGCACAGCACATGGGAAAGCAAAGCTCTAGGGTACAGGTGCAAGGTGGGCTGCCGGTACCTTTGGTGGCAAGGTGAAGGATTTCTCATCTGAGTGCTTCTATTTTGAGCATTGAAGAAGAGGCTTAGAGACTTAAAGAGAAGGGAAAAAATGGTGTGAAATAGTGACAGGGAGGAGGGATGGTGGGATTTTTCTATCAGCATGGACCATCCATGTGAATTTATGATAATAAATTAAAATGTGACCAGTTGGCCTGGTTTTGTGGTTTTCTTCTGACATATTTAGCTGCGCAGGTGCAGGCAACAGAGTAGGGAGATGGTTAGACAAACCCAGAGTTGGAATGTTCCTGAGAAAGTTACAAGAAGGGAGAAAGAGACCAGGGACTAGAGAATCTATGTTGCTGAGTCATGATAGCTAATATGGGTAAGAAGCAAAGCAAGGAGATGAAGGGTGAGAGGGGAGGGGAAGAATCAGTGGGTCAATGGGCTGGAGGTCCCTGTGCTTGAAAGATGTCTGGGGCAAGGATTCTAGAGGATGTGAGCAGAGTGGTTAAGGGGTAGCGGTCAGAGACAAGGATGCTTCAAGTCAAGGCAGCTTGCCTTGAGAGACTATTTAAAATATAGATTATTGAGCCAAACCTTAGAGAATATGATTCAGCAGATCTGGGGTATGGCCTGATGATCTATGTTTCTCACGAGTGACCACGGTGATTGTGATACCGTCTGTCCCAAGAAAGGCATTTAGGAACCAATGAGAGATAAATATGGGAGTGTCCACAAAAGGGTATCATCACATAGGGCTCAGATGGTGAAAAAGCATTCAAAGAAGAGGTGGGACTTGAGGACAGGGACATATTTGCTGACCGGCTCATTCATTTCAAGGCAAACCCTTGGGGGCTGATTTCTCTGGAAATAAGGATACTGGAACACATACATCTCTTCAGGAATGGAGAGAAAAATTCAGAAAAATGAATGAGAAAAATATATTAAACGATTTGCCCAGACACACTTGATGGAGAGGAAAATTACCATGTAAATACCAGTTCAAAAACGTTACATAGGAGTGAAAATATCTCAGTGGGCATTGGGATTTTGTTCAGCCTGAAATTTTATTGTTGGTTTGAAGATAAATGCCTTCCTCTCTATGAAGTAATTTCCTCCCTCCGTATTCAGATGTCATGAAACCTTTGCCATGCCTGTGGCTGTTCTGCCTTACACTGAGCTTATTATTGGTGGTGAATGCCTATACAGGACATTGAAAAAACAGAATATAGGCAGCTTTTCACTCTCTGCCAGAGTTGAGGTTGGAAAATAATTTTTTTTCTGACTCTAAGTATACACTTAAAAAGAACTGCCAGTTTATCAGAAGGGCCAGGTCAATTTGAGAAAATTGTTTGGTGCAGAGTGCTGACTTAATAGTGTCTAAAAGAGGAAAGCAGCATGCCAGCAGGGCTTGAAAGAAATAAACAGGTGTTGTCACTGCAGGAATGCATTAACCCTGGAGTTATCAATGTTGGCCATTTGGGGCTACTGTGAATAGGCGTACAAAATTCCAGAAGGATGAGATAACATGAGAGACACAAAAGTAAAGTGAATAAGCCATTTGGAGATGGGCCTACACTCACATTTTCTCTAACTGTGGCCAGTGCACAAACTTTTTCAGTGATACTAGGGGACTGAACAAGGAAGGCAATAGTAAGTGGTGAAGAACTCTTCGTTTCTGAGTTCATTTCAGTCTCTGAAACTTCCTTGCTTTGTAACTTGCTTTATAATAAAGTAGTTATTATCTAACCACTTTTATGTCTCAGTTTCTTCATCAAAAGAAAGTTGATAATCATCGTATTCAGCCCATAAGTTTGTGTTAATAATTTAATGAAATAGGCTGGGCGCGGTGGCTCATGCCTGTAATCCCAGCACTTTGGGAGGCCAAGGCGGGCGGATCACAAGGTCAGGAGTTCAAGACCAGCCTGGCCAATACGGTGAAACCCCATCTCTACTAATAATACAAAAATTAGCTGGGCGTGGTGGCACATGCCTGTAGTCTCAGCTACTTGGGAGGCTGAGATAGGAGAATCACTTGAACCTAGAAGGCAGAGGTTGCACTGAGCCAAGATCGCGCCACTGCACTCCAGCCTGATGGCAGAGTGAGACTCCGTCTCAAAAAAAAAAAGAAGAATTTAATGAGATAATACATAATATACTCTTAGCCCAGAGCCGGGCTCATAGTAAATGTTGAACAAATGCTAAGTATCAAGAGGTTATTGTTCAGTTTAGTAACACTCTCATAAATTAATCCCAAGCACATCGCAGCAAATTTTAACATCAGCACGGTACATTAACATATGAAAAACAAAGAAGCATAAATAAATGGTTTATCTAAGACGTCAAGAGAAGAATGTGTTTGAGCTGGAATTCAGCAAGACTGAGACAGAAGCAAAAACAGAATGCCATTTATGAAAGAGAAGGATTTTTTAAATAGTTGAAATGTGAACAAAATATATTCCAGATTTTTTAATCCAGCAAGTTTTCTTATTATTAGCTGTAACTCGATGACTTAGAGTCCACCAAACAATTGTCCATCTTCTCATCTAATTCAACTTGGTAAGCATTTTTCTACTCTTACTGATATTGTGTCAAAAACTAAAGAAAACGCCATAATAAAGTTGGGGGGAGGTCATGGGTATAAACAAAAGGCTGTGAGAGAATACAGTGGTCAGGAGCGTATATAGTGGGTTCTGGGATCATAACGAAATCAGGCAACTTAACCTAAGTTTCTATTTCCTCATCTACAAAATAAGGATAATAAAGTACTCATCTCTGGATAGTTGCCGTAATGTCTAATGGGATGATAAATCAGTGCATTTGCTATGGTGGTAGTGATTACTGTTAATAATGATAAATGCACATTCTCTATCCCTGTTTTCTTCCCAACTCACTGGCTGTTTCTTCTCTGTCTCCTCGGCTGCACATTCTCTTCCTGACTTCTCTATCCGTACTCCCTCTCTAAAGGATCTCATATAGGCTCATGGTTTTAAATACTGTCAATATAGCATTGAGTCCTAAAAGGGCCTGGACCAGGGTTCGGCAAGTGAGGCACTAGGCTCAAACTTAAAATTTCAGGGGTATCCAAAAATTTAATAATCACTATTATATAATTGATAAATAATATTTCAATACAATATTTTTAGAAAGATAATGAAAACCCAAAAATGCATCATTAACAAAATATGTGCATTTTAGTAAAGACAGATCGGTATTATTGGTTTTTCCTTCTGCCTCAGGCCCCAGTATGGCACTGTGCTCTGTCCTCTCCTCTGAGCTACAGTATTGGGAATCACACTGTCCACTAGGAAGCTTGCCATGCATCTTTCAATGGCATCTCAAACGTGACATGTTAAAAACAGCTACTGATTCTTCCCCACCACCACACCCAACATGCACACACACATGCACACACACATGCGCACACAGAGACACACACATGCACACATGTACACAAGACATGCATACACACATGCATGTATACACATGCACACACAGGTACACAAAGGCACACACAGACACATGCATGCACACAGACAGGCAAATATATATGCACACACAGGTGCATATACATGCACACACGTACACACATGCACACATGTTTACACGCATGCACACACAGGCACACACATGCACGCACTGGCACACACACATGCACACACACAACTCCTAGTCTTCTAGTCTTTCTTATCTAAGAGAATGGCTCTACTATTCACACACGGCCAAAAAACCTGAAATTAAAATCCTCCTTGATTCCACTTTTTCTTCACTTTCCACATCAATCTATTGGCACATCCTATCGATATCAATTCCAAAATGTATCTTGAACCAATTTCTCACATCTCCATCACTACAAATTCAACCCAGGCCACCATCATTTCCATTCTCAGGCTGCTGCAGTAGCATCCTAACTGGCAGTCCTGTTTCTACTCGTATCCTCTCGTATAGAAGCCAGAATGACATTCTTGAAGGGTCATTCCCGGGCATGAGGTACAAATGGCTTCCCACTGTGATTAGAAATAAAACCCACACCCTGCTCCTCCCTGCCTTCTGACCTCACTTTGCACCACTCTTCCCCCCTTCCCCACAGTACGGCAATACTGATCTTTCCTCTGTGCCTTGAATAGGAAAGAATACGGAGCATCCTCCTGCCTCGTGGGATTTGCACTTGCTGAATGCTTGTCCCCACTTGCCTTACTGCTCACTCGCCACTCACCCAGGTATCTGCTTAAATGCCATCTCCTGGGATAGACTTCCCTTCATCTTTCTTTTTAAATGCCAGCTGCTTATCTTCCTTCCAATTTATTCTCTCATTTTCTTTCACAGCACTTATCATTAGCTCATATGTTATATATTTCCTTATATATCTGATAATTTTCTTTCTCCCTTGTTAATTGTCTCAGAGCAGAGACATTGTTGTATTCACTGTAATGGCCCCAGAGCATAGAATAATGACTGTCACTTACATGAATACCAGAAACGGACTTTAAATGAGATGTTTATTGAAGCTATTTGTAACTATATAAAATTGGAAACAACTTAAAAGTTTGGTTAAATCTCAGGCTTTGTCTAAGTGAGACAAATGTTCAAAAAATATGAATTAGCATGTATAAATATACATTTTTAAATGATGAAAAATAGAATTAAAAACTAGCGTTAACAATGGTTGTCTCTGAATAAAGGAAGCAAGGATCATCACTTTCCTTTACATTTTCTTTATTATTATTATTATTATACTTTAAGTTTTAGGGTACATGTGCACAATGTGCAGGTTAGTTACATATGTATACATGTGCCATGCTGGTGTGCTGCACCCATTAACTCGTCATTTAGCATTAGGTATATCTCCTAATGCTATCCTTCCCTCCTCCCCCCACCCCACAACAGCCCCCAGAGTGTGATGTTCCCCTTCCTGTGTCCATGTGTTCTCATTGTTCAATTCCCATCTGTGAGTGAGAACATGCGGTGTTTGTTTTTTTGTCCTTGTGATAGTTTACTGAAAATGATGATTTCCAATTTCATCCATGTCCCTACAAAGGACATGAACTCATCATTTTTTATGGCTGCATAGTATTCCATGGTGGATATGTGCCACATTTTCTTAATCCAGTCTATCATTGTTGGACATCTGGGTTGGTTCCAAGTCTTTGCTATTGTGAATAGTGCCACAATAAACATACGTGTGCATGTGTCTTTATAGCAGCATGATTTATAGTCTTTTGGGTATATACCCAGTAATGGGATGGCTGGGTCAAATGGTATTTCTAGTTCTACATCCCTGAGGAATCGCCACACTGACTTCCACAATGGTTGAACTAGTTTACAGTCCCACCAACAGTGTAAAGTGTTCCTATTTCTCCACATCCTCTCCAGCACCTGTTGTTTCCTGACTTTTTAATGATCGCCATTCTAACTGGTGTGAGATGGTATCTTATTGTGGTTTTGATTTGCATTTCTCTGATGGCCAGTGATGATGAGCATTTTTTCATGTGTCTTTTGGCTGCATAAATGTCTTCTTTTGAGAAGTGTCTGTTCATATCCTTCACCCACTTTTTGATAGGGTTGTTTTTTTCTTGTAAATTTGTTTGAGTTCATTGTAGATTCTGGATATTAACCCTTTGTCAGATGAGTAGGTTGCAAAAATTTTCTCCCATTTTGTAGGTTGCCTGTTCACTTTGATGGTAGTTTCTTTTGCTGTACAGAAGCTCTTTAGTTTAATTAGATCCCATTTGTCAATTTTGGCTTTTGTTGCCATTGCTTTTGGTGTTTTAGACGTGAAGTCCTTGCCCATGCCTATGTCCTGAATGGTAATGCCTAGGTTTTCTTCTAGGATTTTTATGGTTTTAGGTCTAACATTTAAGTCTTTAATCCATCTTGAATTAATTTTTGTATAAGGTGTAAGGAAGGGATCCAGTTTCAGCTTTCTACATATGGCTAGCCAGTTTTCCCAGCACCATTTATTAAATAGGGAATCCTTTCCCCATTGCTTGTTTTTCTCAGGTTTGTCAAAGATCAGATAGTTGTAGATATGCGGCGTTATTTCTGAGGGCTCTGTTCTGTTCCATTTCTATCTTTGCTTTTTTACTTTTAGATTTTCTTTGGTAAGTAATTTATCATTTTAAGGCTTTAGAATAGAAAAATGTATCTGATAATGAATATTACTAAAGCTTTGAAAGCATGAAGTCATTTGTGAGTAACTGAGTAGAACTAGCTAGGTAATTATGAAACAAATCTATAATTCATAGTCACTTTTGGTATGTGTTTTTAATCAATCAAAACAGAAGAATGAGTTCAGCTACTGACTGAAGAGAGCGGCAGTGTAAGAAGACAGGACAAATTTTGCTCAGGGTTACCATTTTCATATTCTGCGTGAAAGGAAAAGGACAGGGAGTAACCAGAAGCGATGGATCAGAATCGCTTCAGAAGGAGCAATATGTTCTTTCCAAGAGATCCCCATGCAGAGTTTCCAGATATTATACAGGATGATGAGTTACATTTGAATTGCAAATAAATAACAGAATTCTTTAGTATCAGTATGCATCAGATACTGCATGAGATGTACTTAAAATAAAAATTAGTTGTTTATCGAAATTCAAATTTAATAGACATCCTGTATTTTTATTTGCTAAATCTGGCAACCCTATTATCAAGCCAGTTTTGAATGGAAAATCCTGTACCATTCGAAGAGAAGGAGATTAAACCTCCAGAGACCAGGGCTTCCCATTCTCTGAAACCCTTTCTATTGGGATCAGGGGGAGGTACACCCGAGATTTATTTATTTAAAAAAGTGGCCGGACACAGTGACTCAAGCCTGTAATCCCAGCACTTTGGGAGGCCAAAGTGGGCAGATCACCTGAGGTTGGGAGTTCGAGACCAGCCTGACCAACATGGAGAAACCCCGTCTCTCCTAAAAATACAAAATTAGCTGGGCGTGGTGGCACATGCCTGTAATCCCAGCTACTTGGGAGGCTGAGGCAGGAGAATCGCTTGAACCCGGGAGGCGGAAGTTGTGTGAGCCGAGACCACGCCACTGCACTCCAGCCTGGGTAACAGAGCGGGACTCCATCTCAAAAAAAAAAAAAAAAAGTATGACAACCTACCCTGTGTTGGGCATGTGCTGTAGATAATATGGAGAATAAGAAGAACATGGGCCTGCTCTCAAGGGACTTACACTCTAAGTAAGAGACAAGGACTCTGGAGCTTCACTCTGACTGTAATATAATCAACTTAGACATGATGTGCATGATGTCATTTACATACAGTTCAAAATCAGGCAAAATAAATGATGCTGTTTGGCATAATAATATATGTAGGAAAATATAAAGAAATGGAAGAGAACAATAAACATAAAATTCAGGAGACAGCTACCTCTGGAAAGGCAGAGAAAGGGATTCATTTATGCCAGAAAAGAAAGGGCCCTCCACATTATTAGTAATGTTCTCTCTCCCAAGTTGTGTTATGGGAATAGAATTTTCTGTTAAACTACCATGCTTTATAATTGCAATGTGTATTATATTACATGTTATTTACTTTTAGGTATAATTTATAGTAGACTACACAAATGTTAAGTGGATGGCTTGGTGAATTTTCACCTGCATACATATCCATATCATCTTCATTTTGTATCAAATATTTCACAATACAAATGAAAACTGATTTCGAGTTTACCTGTAATTTTTGTTTGTTTGTTTGTTTTTGAGACAGAGTCTCGCTCTGTCGCCCAGAATGGAGTGCAATGGTGCACTCTCAGCTCACTGCAACCTCTGCCTCCCGGCTTCAAGCAATTCTTCTGCCTCAGCCTCCTGAGTAGCTGGGACTACAAGTGCATGCCACCACGCCCAGCTAATTTTTGTATTTTTAATAGAGACGGGGTTTCACCATGTTGGCCAGGCTGGTCTTGAACTCCTGACCTCATGATCTGCCCACCTCAGCCTTGCAAAGTGCTGGGATTACAGGCATGAGGCACCGCGCCCAGCCTTGAATGTTTTTTTAACCAAGGTTGTTAACGGTCAATCCATTACCATTTTATCCTTTGATCAAAGACAGTGGCTGCTCCAAAAGGAAATCCAATACTTCTGTTAAAATGCCAATGTTGTTTAAGGGTTAAAAACTCAAGACTGACTTTCTCAGAAAGGAAACCTTTTTCGTCCTAAAATTAAAAAGTTCCTTACAAAATACATGATTTAAAAAATGATATTTCTCCAAGATGGATGTGCAACGTGTTGCAGGAAGGATCCACAGCAGCCCACACGAGGAGGAGCACTCGAGCAGAAGAAGCCAATGGCTTTCGCAGGGACTATTGAATTTCAATTTCCTCCCACATGCTTCATACACCCTCTGTGGATGGGCAGACAGGCTTTCTAAATCTCACATCATTCTTAATCAAACACATAGCCATTTAAAAAAATACCTACCCATTTCAAGGATACTAAATCCAGCATAAACCTAATTTTTAATATTTTAATGTTTCCTGAGGAAAAGTTAACTAAACTTTACCCTAAATCTTCCATGTATGTTAAACTTAGATGGCATAATTATCATAATTTTGCTAGTTCACCTGAAAAATAGGCCGTAACTCGAGCACTCTGACAGCCAACAAGATGCGAAGAAAGTCACAGGCTGACCGATGTGGAGGTTGTTGGCAGTCACTGGAGGTTATGCAATGTACAGAATCAGTAGGAAGAAAGTGTAAGTTACTCATTTTTCCAGCGAAACAGTTGTCACCATATGTCAATTGATTCTACATACACAGAAGCCCATCCAACTTTGGACATTTTTATCATGGAGAAAAAGACGTTTTTGTCCAAATGGAGAATAATGAAAAGTGTCTGCTTTATCCTACCACATTGAAACAGAGGCAGACCTCCAGGGGGCTTTAAAATTATGTGCTATTCCTACCTTTAATTTAGAAAATGTTCATGTACAGTCTTTTCCTATGAAATGAAGCAGCTTTAGATGTTTAAGCTGTAATTTGTAAATATGACTTCAAGCTCATATTTCTTTGTATTCTAAATGGCGTGACTGAATCAGGATTAGGCAGGTCAAAAAGAGTCTTCCTACTTCAAAAGATGAGGACTGCTAAGAAGCCCTACACCCATCTTTTCCTCTCCTGATGTATGAAATTAGTTGCATTACAGCTTCATTTGTTTGTGTTGGAGTCTATCTTTTCCCATTAGGTCTGTTCGAAAACCACTTTTAACATACTGTGTGCTCAATAGCAGAGATATGGAATCAACCCAAGTGTTCATCAATGGATGATTGGACAAAGAAAATGTGGTATATCTGCACAATGGACTACTATTCAGCCATAAAGAAGGAACAAAATTACGTGCAGCAACAAGGATGGAAATGTAGGCCACCATCTTGAGTGAAACCAGCCAGGCACTGAAAGTCAAATATTGCATGTTCTCACTCATAAGGAAGTGCCACAAAATGTGTACACCTTGACTTAGAGAGTGGGATGATGGACAATGGAGCCTTGGAAGGGTGAGGAGGTGGGAGGGGAGTAGATGATAATAAATTACTTAATGGGTACATTGTACATTATTTGGGTGATGGGTACACTAAAAGTCCTGACTTGACCACTGCATAATCCATGCATGTGATCAATTTGCACTTGCACCCCATAAATTTACACCAAAAAAAAACCCAGGGGCTTAGTAAATATCTTGTTAATCCATCAAGACAGCACTTGTAAATGCTCTCTGCTGAGGGATAAAACTCTGGTCCTATGTTTTCTCAAGGAAAAAACTCACGGCTAGGTATCAGAGCAAAAGAAAGGAAGTTGACTTGTACTGTCAGAAACAGGTGCCGCGGCAGGCATTTTTCTATTCCTTGTAATTAATTCACACAAGCACGATATGAGATGGGCATTATTCCATTTGCTGTTCTTCTTATGACTCCTGTTTTAGCTGGTAAATCAATAGATGTTCAGGCAGCTTGTTAATTATTCCAGGCCACATAACCACTAAATTGACAGGATGCAAACCATGAATTTCTGGCTCCAAATCTCAAGCCTCTGTTTGGTTTGTTTTGTTTTTTCCCACTAAAATGCTTCCTATTTACTATCTTTTTATATCAAACAGCCTGCATCAGATGACTCACCTAAAATTATATTCTTCTCTGGTTTCACTCAGATAGGTTAAGATTGAGAGATGGTGCAGTTTTATTGCTAGGTTTTAGGATTTGTATATTACGATAAGGTCCTTCATGTTCAACTGTGAAAAGGGACTTCACACAGCTCCAACCATCCAGGGCTCAGAGACTTAATTATGAGGCCTGCTTTGTCTGGGTTGGATGTCTCAGGAAGAGAGTGCCCAGGTTTTAGATGAGGTTCAGATCCTGGTTGATGGATTTTGCCAAGGTAATGAAGACAGCTATTAAGATAGAGGACTGATTCTATCTGTCTCTTTGCCAGAGGCGAAGATGATTGTTGATCATTAAAACATGAGGCAAAGCAGGGAAAAGACATTAACCCAGGATCACAAAATCTCATCCATAAGAGTTGATCTGCTTAGTAATGCATCTGGCTTACATGCAGTCTTCAGAGATGTCAGAAAGTGCCTGGAAGTAGGGAGTGGTCTAAAGAATTTGCTCAGAGATTAAGCTACATGCGATTAGACCTAAATGGCATGACTGAGTCAGACCTAGGCAGGTCAAAAAGAGTCTTCCCACTTCAGAAGATGAGGACTGCTAAGAAACCCTACACACATCTTTTCCCCTCCTGATGTATGAAGTTAGTTGCATTATATCTTCATTTGTTTGTGTTGGAGTCTATCTTTTCCCATCAGGTCTGTTCGAAAACATAATTATCTTGTGAGATACGCTAAGTTCCTCACAAAGTAAGGAAGATGAGTTTGCCAGACCTTTTCCCCAACTGAAGGGGCAGTCCTCAGATCGTAAAAGTGAAGAAAATGACAGGGGTTAGTGCCTGCTGGTAAACAACTGATTTCCCTGACTTTCCCATTTTATTTAGGGCAGCACCAAATAACAGGTTCTTGGTGGTTGTGGTTGCGATCAAGTTAGCAGCCTAATAGAGCACGCCCCATTGTAATGGAGCATAGCCGTGCGTATTGGAGGAGGCTCGGGCCCTGGAATAGGGCTGGGAAGAAGTGTTTCTAGACAAGCAGGCTTTTCAGCAGAGTCCCTATCACCCTGGGAGCCAGCTCTAGTGAACCTCAAAAGTATCCCTGCTGCCACGTGGTACATTTGCATCCAGGTACCAATAGTGAAGAGAAATAGTGGTTACGACAGACTCCTATCTCCAGTACCCTCACAGCTGCTTCTCTGCTCCAGAGAATAACATGTTCTATTACCTCACTTGGAAAACTCTAAAGATCATGAAGGTCACCACACATTAAATTAACCTTGGATACGCTCTCCAAAAATTACATTTTTTTTTCAACTGCAGGATCACGGAATTTTAGAGCAGAAAAGAACCTCAGAGATTACCTGGTCCAGCTGTTCTCATTTCACAAATGAGGTAACCAGCAAAATATTTTAGACCTGTACCAGTCTTCTGACCTTTCAACAGAAATACACACACCAAATTTGTATGTCCTGTTTTAAACCTCTTAGAGAAAAAACAGACAGGGAAGATAAAAGTCCTGCATATTCTTACAGAAAAAAAATTAAGTAGAAAAAATCATCGTGCCTCAACCAACATTCTATTTTGCATAGAGAAAATCGTAACAGAAAGGACTATTAATGTGAAATACTTGTTTTACCTAGGCATTTTAGAGTACACTGACACACAGGTCACATGCATCTCAGCCTTCTGATGGGTTATTTGGATTTGATTCAGGCTCTGAATCAAGCTGATTCAAGGTGTGAGTAACATGACTTTGCATTTTGCTTAAGAAACCAAGTGCCTCAGTGATAGCAATGGAAGGATTTGTTATGCTATCCTATTCTGATTTCCAATCACTGATTCCAGCAAAATAACTACCGTCTTCTCTCTCTCTCTCTCTCTCTCTCTCTCTGGATATATATAAATCTCTCTGTCCATGGATATATATAAATCTATAGCACAGAGATGTGGAGATTTCTGGGTTCACATGGTAGCAAATAAGAAATGCATAATAGGTTTGCTCACAACTTCCTATTTAAATACCAAGAATATCGAGCAAAGTATGATTCTAATTATACCATAAAATATAACTCTCTTTCTGTATATATATATATATATATATATATATATATATATATGGCCATCAATCCTGTAATCTTATATTAGTCATACCAGAACAGGTTAATAGGTTATATGTGATAACAAATAAATTCAAAACTCGGCAATTGAACACAATAAAGATTTATCACCCACCAAATTAATATCCAGATTGTTCAGCCTTCTTTCATCTTGTGGCTGCACCAGCTTGGACACATGGCCTCCAAGATTTCAGTGGCAGAGGAAGAAAGCACTGAAAGGGGCACATGGCTCTAAACTGCCTTGGTCCATAAATGGCCCATGTCATTTTCGCACATGGATCATTAGCTAGGGCTAGTCATACAGGATGGACTCGAGTGCAAGAAGATTTGGAAATGAAGGGGAGGGCATAGAAATATGGTGAGCATTACTTTCTCTGCCACTAACCTTTTAACCACAAACCTGGAGGATCAGAGATTAAGAATCACTCCCACTAACAATCCCTAAGCCTGTGTTCATGAGCCCCACTAACCAACAAAACATATTATTATTCTGTAATTCGTCTTGATATCGTGTAACTTATGAAGGAAATTATAAAGTAAATTATCACAACATATTCTATATTTTAAAAGTGGGCCTGGATGCTGTGGCTCATGCCTATAATCCCAGCACTTTGGGAGGGCAAGGCAGGTAGATCACCTGAGGTCAGGAGTTCGAGACCAGCCTGGCCAACATGGCGAAACCCCATCTCTACTTAAAATACAAAAATCAGCTGGATGTGGTAGTGGGCACCTGTAATCCCAGCTACTTGGGAAGTTGAGGCAGGAGAATCACTTGAACCCGGGAGGTGGAGGTTGCAGTGAGCCAAGATTGCGCCACCGCACTCCAGCTTGGGTAACAAGAGCGAAACTCCATCTCAAAGCAACAACAACAACATAAAAGTGGGGAAAGGGGATAGAAAAATGTAATAAAATTAGTTAAAAATCTTGAATATATACGTGGCCAAGCAAGAGATAAAGTATAAATAAATGTTATATTCCTATTTCTGCAGCTGTCTCCCAGGCTGTAATTGGTTTAATGCTTTTCTTCCTCTATTCTCTATTCTAAGTTCCCATTGCCCTCGGCCAACATCAAAGAAGGTCAAGGTTTTATATCTGGTAGGGAGAACTAACACTTCATTTCCAGAATTTCTGAGCCCCTTGATGGTCCCTCCTGGGTTTTGTTAGACATCCACTAACTTTTCCACTGTACTTAGCAACATTAAGAATCGCCCAGAGGATCTCCTCTTCTCCTGTCATGTTCTCCTTGCTGCCATTGTGTAGGGGCAACCCTATTTCTCCTTGATAATCAGGATCAGTGCAATCAACGTGGCAACCTCATACATTCTATATTCATGCTGCATCATGGGAGCCCTATATGGACAGGTAGCAGTTTTCAACATTGAATTTAATGGAATGTTTGTGACAACACACAGTGACAACATTTATCCCTTAGAAACTAAGATCTCTAAACCCAGCAAACTGCCAAGGTGCTCAGGAAAAGGAAGTAAAAGTTTTTCAAGAATAGTATGAAGTGCCTTTGCAGGCTGAGGCAGGTGGATCACGAGGTCAGGAGTTTGTTACCAGCCTGACCAACACGGTAAAACCCTGTCTCTACTAAAAACACAAAAATTAGTCGGGCATGGTGGTACACGCCTGTAATCCCAGCTACTCAGGAGGCTGAGGCAAGAGAATTGCTTGAACCCAGGAGGCGGAGGCTGCAGTGAGCTGAGATCATGCCACTGCACTCCATCCTGAGCAACAAAGCAAGACTGTCTCAGAAAAAAAAAAAAAGAATAGTATGAAGTACCACTATAATTTTTATCCCTTGGCTGCATAACCCTTGTATTCTGGCTACAGAAAAAATCAGACACTGTATTGGCCACTAAAACTGAACATACTGGAACTTGGAGGATAGTTCCCCAACTCTAAAAAGAGTCTCTTGTTCAGCATTTACTGAAATTTCAAAAAGTCATTCTAATTTACTAAGGACAGTTGTTTATATGGAAAATGTGCCTGGTAAGATCCATGAAATCTGTGTGCATCAGCCCGTTGCATTAGTTTTTTCTCTGCAAAATTAGTTCCATGGAGAAAAAGTTAGGAGCTCTGCTTGGTATGTAGAGAGCTGGAAAGAACACTGATATGGTTTGGAGGTTTGTCTCTTCCAAATCTCATGTTGAAATGTCATTCCTGATGTTGGAGGTGGGGCCTGGTCAGGGGTAATTGGATCGCGGGGGCAGATCCTTTATGAATGGTTTAAGCACCATCTCCCCTTAGTGACAGTGAGTTCTTGCACTAGGTTCACTTGAGAAAGATCTTGTTGTCTGAAAGTGTATGGCACCTCCCCCGTCTCTCTTGCTCCCACTCTCACCATGTGACATGCTGGCTCCCTGCCACCTTCCACTATGATTGCAAACTTCCTGAGGCCTCACCAGAAGCAGATGGCAGCACCATGCTTCCTGTACAGCCTGCAGAACCATAAGCCAATTAAACCTCTTTTCTATATAAATTACCCAGCCTCAAGTATTTCTTCATAGCAATGCAAAAACAGCCTAATACAAACATCACTCTCATCTTTAAAAACACACGCATACGAAGTCTGACAAACTGTAAGTTTATGACCATCTGTAAAGAATCTGAGGTTGCAAGGCAACTAAACAGCGTGAACTATAAAAAAAAAAAGACATGTACTTCAGGGGAGAGATGAAAAATACACATTTGCTTACTTGAGGAAGACACAGCTGAAGATTGGTGAGAATAATTTGGATAGAATTGTTAACAAAACTAAAAATAATGACAGATACCAAATCACAGATCTAAGAAGCTCAGAGCACACAAAAAGATTATATATATGTTTAAAACCACTCTATATTCAAACTGCTAAAAAAAAAAAAGACAGAAAATCTTCAAGGCAACCAAAGAAAAAAGACATTATCTAAAGAAGAACAAAGAGAAGAATTACAAGGGACCTTGTCTGAAAACATGAAAACCACAGGACAATGGAGCAACATCTTTAAAGCACTTAAAGAAAAGGAAAAAATCTCCCAACTCAGAATTCTTTTTAATATTTTATTTTTAATTGATATATAATAATCGTGCATATTTATGGGGTACATGGTGATGTCTGGATATATATAATATATAGTGACCAGATATATGTAATTACCATATCCATCATCTCAAACATTCATTATTTCTTTTTGTTGGGAACATTCAACATCCTCTCTCTAGCCATTTGAAGCTATGTATTATTAACTATAGTCATCCTACAACGGTATAAAATACTGGAATTTGAAAGCCACAATTCTATATGCAGGAACCTGTATATTTCAAAAATAAAGGAGAAATAAAGATTTTTCTCAGACAAAAACTGAGAAAATTCACTGCCATCAAACCCGCACTACAAAAAAGTTTTTTTAAGTTTCTAAAGCAGATGATACCAAGTAAAAAAATTTGGATTCACACAAAGAAGTCGTGTCAGAAACAAGTTAAATTAAGATACAAATAAATTTTATTTTCCATATTTTTATTTCTCCAAAAATAACATTTAAAGCAATAATAGTAGCAATGTGCTGTGTTTCTATAAAATACAAAAAAGCAAAATGTATGAAAAAACACAATGCATGGGAGAGAGAAATTGGGAATACACTATTGTAACATCCTCAACTACACATGAAGCAGCACAACCATATTTGAAGACAGATGCTGCTAAATTAAAGATGTAGATTATAAACCCTATGGCAAATACTGAAAATACTTTAAAGAGAAATATAAATAATACTTTATTTTATTTTAAATGCAATCATAAAGTATCATAAAGAATGTTCACTTAACCCCAAAAAAGCCAAAAAGAAAAAAATGTATTTTTATAAAAACCTAGCAGCTGGGCACAGTAGCTCACGCCTGTAATCCCAGCACTTTGGGAGGCCGAGGCGGGTGGATCACGAGGTCAAGAGATCGAGACCATCCTGGCCAACATGGTGAAACCCCGTCTCTACTAAAAACACAAAAAAATAGCAGGGCGTGGTGGCGGGCTCCTGTAGCCCCAGCTACTCGGGAGGCTGAGGCAGGAGAATGGTGTGAACCCAGGAAAAAAAAAAAAAAAAAACCTAGCAAGTTGGTATATCTAATCACAAAATAATTATACTAAATATGAATAGTCTAAAAACACCAATCAAAAGATTATTGTGTTGTATGTTTTTACAGAAAGCATGACTTAACTGTATGCTGTCTATAAGAAACTCACTTAAACTATAAAGATATAGATGGGCTAAAGTCAAAAGATAGAAAAAGACATACCATGCAAAGTCTAATCAAATAAAGCTGAAATATAAGAAAAAAATAGACCTCAGGGGAAGGAATATTATTAGAGGTAAAGAATGATATTACATAATAATGGAATTGTTTCCCTAAGAACATATATTAATTCTAAATGTATATGCACCTAACAACAGAGTATCAAAATACATAAAGCAAAAACTGACATAACCGAAAGTAGAAATAGAGAAATCCACATTTATAGTTGGAGAGTTCATACACCAATAGGCAAATATCCAGAAGCTGTTTTTACTTGGCAAGGCTGTAAGTACACCTTCACTACCTAGACTCAGACTTCTGTTTGCCCTCTACTGAGACTTGGTTTGGTACTTAGGGATCTTAACATTTTATTACATCAGTGGTATCATAAAACCTGGAAAATAAAAAGTAGCAGGAACCTAAAATACCCTAGTAAATCACATGCCAAAAGGTGTGAGATAATTTTCTAAAAATTTAGGAGCTTACATGCCCAGTAAAATTGTAGTATTTAAGTAGTCAAGCACATGTTAGGATTTCCCCTCCAAAGTACAAGTCATGTTGCTGTTCCTTGCACCAACACACTGAACAGGACAGTACTGGCTAAGTGTGTGAGCACCAAAGTCAGAATACATGGATTTAAGTCTTGGCCCCACTCCTACTAGCTGTGTGTCTTTGAGCTAATTCTTCACCTCTCTGTGCCTCAGCTTCCTCACTGTAAAATGGTACTTGTAATGGTAAGTTTAATGACATCTACCTTGTGTTTTCTTTACATGTGTTTTATTATCAAACTCCAGTATACTCTAAGATACTACTTCCTTGAAGAAAGAGTGGGGTACCTTAACTTTTATGGAACCAAATTATAAAAAGTAGGAATTTTGTACTTGACAAATATACATAACCAAAAGCATCTCATTATTTGAAAAGAACAGGAGTGAGACTAAACTTTTTAAAAAGACTGAAACAACTAACTCTTAGAACAGCAGTTCTTGAAGTGTGGTCCACAAACAGCTGGTGATCCCCACAATTCTTCAGGAGGCTTGTGATGTTGAAACTATTTTATAATAAGATAAAAGACATTATTTACCTTTTCCACTGTACTGGCCTCTGTACTGATAGTACAAAAGCGATGGTGGGTAAAACTGCTGGTATGTTTGCAGGAATCAAGATCACAGCACCAAGGTGAATTGGCAGTCATTGTATTCTTCACTCCTATGCATGAAAAGAAAAAGAAAGTTGTTTCCCTCACAAACATCCATAAAGAAGCAATAAAAATTGTTCATTTGATTCGTTCATGAGTATGTCTTTCTAATACCCAGTGTGATGAAATGAAAACCACACATAAAGTACAGCTATGTACTGAAGTTCCATAGTTGTCTCAACAAAAAGCACCATAGCAATTGCTGGAGCTGTGAGCTGATCTAGTCACTTTTCTCCTTGAATACTGTTTTGATTTGAAAGAACAGCTGACAGACAACACAAGAACCATGGTTTTTCAGACTTGGATATTTGACAGACATTTTCTTGAAAATAAGCAAAGTGAGCCAGGGACTTCAAGGAAAACAACTGACAGTATTTGTTGCCAGTGATAAAATTAAAGTCGTCGACTAAAAATTAGAATTTTATAAAACTTATTTCCATGATCATGAGCATGACAGTTTCCAAATACTTGAAAAGAAAAAAAAATGTCTTTTTTGAGACTAGTGAGATATAACATATTTGGAAGATCTGCATAGTTGAGTGAACTACTGTTTCCCAATCTACCAATACATGATGTTATAAAATAACTCATGGGTGAAAGATCCACGCAAATTTCAAGCTACAATAGTAAATTTTCAGTAACAATATAAAAGGTTCATTAATATGGTTTCAGATTCCACATTGCAACTAACCTTTAAGAAACTACCACTTCTCAAGTTTCTATATGGTATCAAAGAAGAATATTCTCAAAAATGAAAAAGCTACTAAAATAATCCTTTCTTTTCCTACTGCACAGCTTCACAATTTCAATGAAACTAGCATATTGCCATAGATTAATGCAGAGGCAGATATGAGAATTTGGCTGACTTCTATTAACCAAGACATTAAAGAAGTTTCCAAACTGCAAGACAATACCACTTCTTACTAATCTATTTTTTTTTGCAAAATGGTTATTTCTGGTTAAAACTTTTAACTTTTAACATGTAGTATGTTTATTATTGCTATTTTAAAATTAATAAGTACTTTTTAAAGGTTTTCATTTTAATTTCAAATATGGTAAATTCTAAATGTATATGCACCTAACAGCAGAATATTTGAAAAATCTATGAAAATAATACTCAAATTTGGTAACTATTCAAAATTAAACACTGACTGATGAAACACATATAAACAAAGAACTCTTTGCGTTCTTGATAATTTTTAAAAGCATAAAGGATTCTTAAGTCCAAAATATTTCTCCATCACTGTCTTAGATGGTTAGGTTATAGAAGGAAAAGCTATTTGAAATAAACCATCAGGGACGCTTTTTCAAAGAAAGTATACAAATTTGTTATTTTCTTCTCCCTTTTTATTTTGCCACCAAAACAGTTGGGCAGAAAAATAAAGGTCTGATTGGAACCCAGGGACTAAACTGTAGTGATCTGAACCATTCGTGGTGACCCCATTGTCATTTGACAGACACCTGTTTTCCCAGTCTTCCCTGCAGCTAAGAGTGGCCATATGACACAGGTCTCATCAAAGAGGACATAACTGGAAATCGGCTGAGGGGTTTCTGAGAAATATATTTTTTTAGTAAGAAAGACAAGCCTGCAAGAAGAGTCTGCTAGCAAAGGCTATACCTTCCATGTGCTGTCAGGGTTTGATGTCAGCGACTGTGCTTTCTCTCTTATAACCATCAGGGAGCAAGTATGAGGAAGATCCAATACGCTGGGATCTCAGAGCACAATGTTTGAAGAAGTGTCAGTCAGTTCTCAATGACGACCTTGAGCTTCTGAACCACCCTCAGAACCACCAATCTCTTGTTATGTTACAGAATCAAATATCTTTGTTAGCTGAGGCACTGTTGTTGGTCATTCTCTAATATGCCACAGATATAGACCACTATGTCACTGAGATGAAAGGTAGCACTTAGAAGGTACCACCTTTCCCTCTGAAAGGTTAAAGTGAGATATACAGATTTGTTAAAAGAACTAAAAGGCAGTACTAAGAAGGTAACACCTTTTTCTTTGAAAAATTAAAATCAGATATATGTGAGAGCGGTAGAGCAAGATGGCAGAATAGATCACTTCAGTGACTGTCCCCCTGCAGAAACATCAGTTTGAACAAGCATCCACAAGTGAAAATAGATCCATAAGAGCTAAGGAAACCAGATGAAAGATCACAGTTCCTGGTTGCAGCAAAATAATAACTAAAAAATACACATTAAGGAGAATAGAAAGGACAGTTTCACATTACCTGCCTCACTCTCCCCCAACCCCGGTCAGCACAGTGTGGAGAGAAACACTGTCCACTTGGGGGAAAAAGAGGAAAGTGAGCACAGAACTTTGCCTTGGACTCCAACACTGGGCCTGTGACAGTAAAACTCAGCACCAGGAAGACATTAATAGCCCCACACTCCAAGCCAGTACCCACAGACTAAGCCTGCAGACCTGCCCTGGTGCCAAGCAGGACCATGCAGCCCCAGGCTTCAGGCTTGCATAACAGACTAGATTCCAGGCCCATACAGCCACTGGGCCTACTTCAGCAGTCCCAGGCTCTGGTAGGCCTTAGCAGCCCTGGGCTTCAGGTACACAGTGGGCCTGAGATGGACCTCAGGCTTCTGGTGTGCCCCAGCATTACATCAGCCTCCATGGAACCTGGGCTTTGGGCCCACCCCAGTGCTGCACCCACCACAGTGGCCCTGGGCTTCTGGAATACCCCAGTGCCACACTTACCACAGCAGCCCAAGTCCTATGGATCACACCACACAGCCTGCCCAGAATCTTGGAACAGGCTGACTGTTGCGTTTTCTGAGATAAAGTCAGTCTGTAACTGGAATTAGTATCTACTTCTTCAAATCTCCAGACAATGACACATGACCACAGGGATCAAGAACAATCAGGGAAATATGATATCACCAAAGGGATGAAATAAAGTGCCAGTGACTGACCTTAAAGAAATGAGGATGTACAAAGTGCCTGACTAAAAATTAAAAATAACTAAGAGAGCTCAGCAAACATCAAGAAAATGTAGAGACACAATTCAACAAAATGAGGAAATCTGCGTGATCAGAATAAGACATTTAATAGAAAGATTGAGATAATAATAATTTAAAAATCAAACAGAAATCCTGGAGGTAAAAAATACAATGATCAACATGAAACGGACAACATCAACAGCTTAATCGATCAAGCAAAATAAAGAATATGTGAACTCAAAGACAGGTTATTTGAAAATACACATTCAAAGGAAAAAAGATAAAAAAGAATGAAAAGGAATGAATAAATATATAGTATATATGGGACAGGATCAAAAGAGCAATTTTGAGTCATAGCAGTTAAAGAAGGAGAAGAAAAACATAAAGGGGCTGAAAACTTAATTAAAGAAATAGTAGGCCAGGTGCACTGGCTCATGCCTGTAATCCCAGCACTTTAGGAGGCCCAGTTGGGTGGATCACCTGAGGTCAGGAGTTCGAGATCAGCTTGGCCAACATGGTGAAATCCTGTCTCTACAAAAAAAACAAAAATTAGCCTGGTGTGGTGGCTCACACCTGTAATCCCAGCTACTCGGGAGGTTGAGGCAGGAGAATCGCTTGAACCTGGGAGGCAGAGGTTGCAGTGAGTCGAGATTACACCACTGCACTCCAGCCTGGATCACACAGCAAAACTCCATGTCAAAAAAAAAAAAAAAAAAGAGAGAAAGAAAGAGAGAAAGAGAGGAAGGAAGGGAGGAAGGGACAGAGGGAGGGAAATAGTAGCAGAAAACTTTCCAAACCTGCAGGAAGTTGTAAATATTCAGTTACAGGAAGGCTAAAGGAGTCTAACCTGATTCAATCCAAATAAGAGTACTCAAGACATTTTATAATCAAACCGTCGAAAATCAAAGACAAAAAGAAGATTCTGAAAGTAGCAAAAACAAAAACAAACAAACAAAAAAAGAAGCAAATAACATTTAAGGTAGTTTGAATATAGCTAGCAGATTTTTCAGCAGACAACTTATACTCCAAGAAAGAGTAGAATGATATTCAAAGTTACTAGAGAAGGAAAAATCCTGCCAACCAAGAATACCGAAAATCTATCCTTCAGAAAAGATAAAGAGATAAACACTTTCCCTGACAAACATACAAATCCTATCAAGCATCTTCTCTGACCACAATGGTATAAAATGAGAAATCAATAACAGGAGAAACTTCAGAAAATTCATAAGTACATTAAAATAACATGCTCCTGAGCAACCAATAGATCAATGAAGAAGTTAAAAGAGAGGTTAAAAAATTTCTTGAGACAAACTGAAATGGAAACACAATATACCAAAAGCTACAGGATACAGCAAAAGCAGTTCTAAGAAGACATTTGTAGTAATAAATGCCTACCTCAAAAAAGAAGAACAACCTCAAATAAACAAGTTAACATTGCACCCAAAGGAACTAGAAAAACAAAAACAAACTAAACCCAAAGTTAATAAAAGAGAGTGAATAATAAAGATCAGAGCAGACATAAATGAAATAGACTAGAAAAACAATAGAGAAGATCAAGAGTCTGTCTTCTGAAAAGACAAACAAAATAGACAAAACTTTATCTAGACTAAGAAAAGGTAGAAGACTCAAATAAATAAAATCAGAAAAATAAAAGAAACATTACAAAAATAAACATTAGTTTTGTAATGTGATGTCCCCTTTAAAAATAATGTCTCTTTTAAAAATAAAGGAGACACTACATTACAAAAAAAATGTAAAAATAAAGGAGACATTACACTACATTACAAAAAATAAAGGATACAAAAGACAAAGGAGACTATTGTGAACAATTATATACAAATCGAATAACATAGAAGAAATGGATAAATTCCTGGACACATAAAACCTACCAAGCCTGTACTATGTAGATACAGACAATATTAACACATTAATAATGAGTAAGGAGATTGAATCAGTAATAAAGAGTCTTCTGACAAAGAAAAGACAAGGACCTGATGGCTTCACTGCTAAATTCTATCAAACATTTGAAGAACCAATACCAGTTCTTCTCAGACTCTTCCAAATAATTGAAAAGGAGGGAGGACTTCCATTTTATGAAGCCAGCATTGCCCTGATAACAAAGCCAGGCAAGGACATTTTATTTATTTATTTTTTAATATAAATATCAAAATTATAATTTCTGAAGTTTCCTGTTGAGTATCTGTGATAGCTTTTTTTATTATTATTATTTTACTTTAAGTTCTAGGGTACATGTGCACAACATACAGGTTTGTTACATATGTATACATGTGCCATGTTGTTGTGCTGCACCCATTAACTCATCATTTACATTAGGTATATCTCCTAATGCTATCCCTCCCCACTCCCCTCACCCGCCAGGGTGTGATGTTCCCCACCGTGTGTCCATGTGTTCTCATTGTTCAATTCCCACCTATGAGTGAGAACATCTGGTGTTTGGTTTTCTGTCAGGCAAGGACATTTTAAAAAGAAAGAAAATTACAGGCCAATAACCCTGATGAACTTACATGCAAAAATTCTCAACAAAATACTAGTAAACCAAATTCAGTAGCATATCAAAAAGATCATTGACCATTATTAAGTGGGATTCCTCACAGATATTCAAGGATGGTTGAAAATACATAAGTCAATAAACATGATACATTGTATTAAAAGAATTACAGACAAAACCATATAATCATTTCAATAGTTGCAGAAAAAGCATTTGACAAAGTTCAACATTCTGTAATAATAAAAACTCTCCACAAATTAGGTATAGAAGGAACACACCTCAACATGTTAAAGGCCATATATGACAAACCCCAGCTGATACCATATTAAATGGCAAAAATGTTGAAACCTATTTTTCTAAGACCCAGAACAAGATAAGGCTGCCTACTCTTGCCAGTTCTATTCAACATAGTATTGGAAGTCCTAGCCAGAGCAATTAGGAAAGAGACAGAAATAAAAGACATTCAAATGGGAAAAGAAGTTAAATTGTCCCTGTTTGCAGATGACATGATCTTACATATAGAAAATCCTAAAAATGCCACCAAAAACTGTTAAAACTGATAAACATATTCAGTAAAGTTACGGGTTACAAAATCAACATACAAAATCAATAGTGTTTGTACACACTAATGTTGAACTACCTGAAAAAGAAATTTTAAAAAAATACCATTTATAATAGCTACAAAAAATAAAATAGTACTAAATTTAACCGAGAAGTTTAAAAATCTCTAAACTTAAAACCTTAAAAATTTATAAAAGAAATTTTAAAAGACACAAATAAATAGAAAGATCCCTTATGTTCATGGATTGAAACATTAATATTGTTACAATGTCCATACTCACCAAAGCAATCTACAGATTCAGTGAAATCCTATTGAAATATTGATGAGATTCTTCACAGAAATAGGAAAAACAATTCTAAAATCAACGTGGAACCACAAAAGATCCCAAATAGTCAAAGCAATCTTGAGCGAAAAGAACAAAGCTGGAAACATTACACTACCTGACTTCAAAATATACCGCGAACCTAGAGTAACCAAAGCAGCATTGTACTGGCTGAAAAACAGACACATAGACCAATGGAACAGAATAGAGAGCCCAAAAATAAATCCATGCACTGACGGTCAGTTGATTTTCAACAAAGGTGCCAGGAACACAATGGGAAAAGAACAGTCTCTTCAATAAATGGTGTTGGGACAACTAAATATCTATATACAGAAGGAAATTAGACCCTTATCTCACAACATATACAGATATCAACTCAAAATGGATTAAAGACTTAAATACAAGACTGAATTATGAAACTACTAGAAGAAAACATACGAGAATAGCTCCATGATATTGGTCTGGACGGTGATTTTTAAAATATAACCCCAAAAGACTGGGCAACAAAAGCAAAAATAGATAAATGAGATAACATCAAATTTAAAAGGTTCCCTATACAGCAAAGGAATTAATCAATAGATTGAAGAAACAACCTACAGAATGGGAGAATATATTTTCAAACCATACATCTGATGAAGGGTTAGTATCCAAAATTTACAAGGAACTCAAACAACTTAATAGCAATAAAACAAATAACCCAATTAAAAATTGGGCAGATAACCTGAGTACACATTTCTCAAAATAAGACATGCAAATACCCAATGAACGTATGGAAAAAATGCTCAACATCACTAATCATCTTCATCAAAAAGACAAAAGATAACAAGTGTTGGAAAGGATGTAGAGAAAAGGGAGCCCTCACACATTATTGGTAGGAATGTAAATTAATGCAGCCATTACGGAAAATGGTATAGAGCTTCCTCAAAAAATCAAAGATAGAACTACCATATCTAGTAATCCCACTATTAGATATATTAAATATATCCAAAGGAAATGAAATCAGTATGCCTATTTCCCTACTGCTATTTTTATTGAAGTATTATTCATAATAGCCAAGAAACGTTATCCACCTAAGTGTCCATCAGAGGATGACTGGATAGAGAAAACATGGTATATATATACAAATTTTTCCTTCTTTATTCTTTATTGCCTTATTTTTTTCCTTATTTATTCAGCCATAAAAAGAAGGAAATCCTGTCATTTGCAACAACATGGATGAACCTGGAGGATGTTATGTCAAAAGAAATAAGCCAGGCACAGAAAGACAAATACCACATGGTCTCACTCATGTGGAATCCAAAAAAGCTGATCTTCTAGAAGCAGAGAATAGAATAGTTGTTACCAAGGTCTGAAGTAGCTGGCAGAGAGGGAGGAGGAATGTTGGCCCAAGGATACAACATTTCAGTTAGGTAGGAGGAGTAATTTCAAGAGATCTTTTGTACCACATGATGACTATAGTTAACAATATATTGTATTTTTGAAAAATGCTAGGAGAGTGAATATGAAGTGTTCTCACCACAAAAATGGTAACCTATGTGAGGTAACACATATGTCAATTAGCTAAATTTAGTCACTCCACAAGTATATACAATTCAAACTATCATGTTGTACACAATAAATATATACAATTCTATCTGTCAATTAAAATAATAATACAATTTAAAACAAAAAAAATAAATCAAATAGAATAAAAATAAAAGTGGATATAGTAACTTTTTGTCCATTTTGTTAGAGATGAAGACTGGAGAAAAGTCACATGAAAGGACTTAATACCACGTGTGTCACAGATCTTGAAGAGCCACTGCAGGGCCTGTACCTGCACTACAAGAGCTTTTAATCCTCAGGAAAAAAAGTTCAAGATAAGTCATTTTCGCTCAAATTTGCCATAGAATCATGAGTAAATAAAGAACACTGGTATTTTGATTGGCTTCCCACTCTGCTTCAATACTCTCTTCCCACCTTTTCTTGACTGTGACTATTTTGTGAGAGCCAAACATGTAAGTTTGCTGATACTGAAAATTACCAACTGGCAGCTCTTACGTGTCTCTTGACAAAGGCGTTTGCTGAGCTCTGGCCTCATGAGTAAGAGAGAGAATTGAGGAGAACCCTGGTCTTGGGTATCACTGAAATTCAGAAAATGACAGCAAGCATCACAGCCTCCCAACTATGTTGGTAAATGGTACAAGGTGTTATTTCTCAGATTATCTATTAGTCCAACTTCAGTGAGATTTTGGCAGGACAAGATCAAATAAAATTAAAGAAATACAGTTTTTTGATAAAAATAATTACAGTAAAACTAAGAGCTATACAACTTTTAGCTCAATTTTCTTCTTTGTGTGAAGAAGAACACATACATGTAGGCATTTGGGGAAACAGGAGAAATGAAAAATTCAGAACATTTCTTCCTCCTCTTCCAAACTCAGATCTTTACAACGCTTCCTTCTTAAAATGAATCACTACATTTTTAATCCTTTTATTAGTGGTTTTTCATATGTAATGTCTCATCTGTGGAAACCTTTCACCAATTTCCCTAATTTCTAATCCTCCTCCAGAATCAGGTCCATGTCTCTTTCCAAGGAAGCCTTCCCTGACCCTCCACAGTAAGTCACAGTTCCTCCTTCAGTGCTCACAGGACCCCATGCTTAGCTTGCACGCCACCTAGACTATTTGTCATGAAGCAATGCATTCTGTAATGTGTTACTTAATGTCTGACTCACTGACAGAATGAAATCCCAGGAGGGCAACAACATTGTCTTATTTACCACTGAATCCTAATATCCTCCACATAGTAGACACTTAATAAATGCTTAGTAAAATCTTCAGTGTGAATGCAAGCTCTCAATGAAATTAAATCCTGTATGGAGAACATTTATATCCCAGAATGGGATATAGCAAATAAATATTATACTACAATATGTAATATAGTAAATACACACATAAAATAAATATTAATTTATTGCATATTTGAGCCTTATATCAATCTTAGAAAACAAGTAGGACAGGTATCAGATAAAGTTCTCAATTTTTAAGTAATGAAATATACTCAGAGGGGTTGCAATTACACGTCCCTCATAATAAGTGGAGGCCAAGCTCACACTGAAGTCTTCTCCACCACTCTTTCTAATGACCTGAGCTCTAAAGAGAGGATAGCTGGGATGCCAAAGGAGCCCATGCTTCCAAAATATCTACTAAACTGAAAAAACCCATCCTAAGCATCTTCAGTGTCTGATCTAGAAGCAGATATCAATACAACTTGGTTTCTTCATCATTGTGGCAGAGATTGCTATTTCCTATCTAATATTCCTTCTCCCTGTCTTCAAGATAGGACTACCATTAAAATAACAATGGATTCATGGAAAATCTGTTTTTCTCTGGCTCTCTTCCATGACCAATGAGATATAAGTGAAAGTGATATGTGAGCATTCCCAGGAATCTGCTTAAAGAGAGTTGACTCAGCTGAGAAGTGGTCCCTTTTGTCCTAAAATGCAGGCATGATGACGACCAGCAGCTGTATAAGACAATGAGGGGAGTTTAAGGTTGAAATGATGTGCTGAGGATAACAGAATAGCACTAGGGTGCCTGCGGGCTAGTCATCCCTGGTGACTGTGGGAGCTGAACCACCATTTCAGCCTGAAGTGCCTATCCACAAGATTTCTGCTGTGTGAAAGAGAAATATACTTCTAACTTATTTAAATTTCTGTTATTATTTTTATGCAGCTAAACATAACCTTCATTGACACGATCATTTCCAAAGCCATGGGAAAAAGTAATAATGGGGCCCACTGTTATTTTTTTGATCCTCCAAGTGAGAATCTGAGAAAATGTAATAAAAATGTATATACTGGCATTCAATTCAAGAAGCAAGAAAGTCAGCAACAAAATAACTTGTAAAAAGTGAAAGGAATCAATGGAAATAGAAGTCAAATGAGCACATTTAATTAAAGAACACGTGAAAAAAGCACAAGCAGTTTCTTTGAAAAGTCCAATAAAATAGATCTGTTTCAGAAGAAAGAGAAAACACAAATAAGCAGGATAAGAATGAGAAAAATGCCTGAACTACTAGTAGGAAGAAATGCTTAAAATATAGGAAAATATTGGATACAAATTTATAGCAACAGATTTGACAATTTACATGAAATAAACCATTTTCTACGAAAGTATAAATTGTCAAAATTTACTCAAGAGGCAAGGAAACCCAAGTACACCATTATTCATGGAACAAATAATAAATGAGCCAAAAATATATATTTAAAACCAAACAAATAGTAATTATATACCAGAATCAGGCAGGTTCTACCAATCAATCTAGGAAAAAAAGTTTTTGTATTAATTAAACTTTGCTTAAAATATACCAAAAGGAATAGAAAACTTCAAACAAGCACAAAATAAACTAATTCCATCTTTGAGATGCAAATATATATGCACAACATAGATGAAAAAATATTTTAAAAATTGGCAAATCCACTCTAGCATGTACTATGATAGCGTTTTTCCTGCCTAACACATTTCTTTCTCACCAACTACCCCTAAACTTCTTTTTGTAATGCTACTTTCTTTAAGCAATTGTTCCTCCCCTATTCTGGAAGAGCCCACACTACTACTGCTCAACCATGGAGTAGACATGTGACCTAAACCAGACAAATAAGATTCTCTCTGCTTGAAATTTAGTTCTTGAAAACATCATAAGGTGGTCACTTCCTCTCAAGCTTGGCATTTGGCTGGTGGGGACCCACGCGGGTTCAACACGTGTATCAAGAAGCATTATTTCTGTTTGGGGCCCATCTACCCTGGCCATGGCATAACGTTCATCCGCAATGATTGCAAGGTGTTCAGATTTTGTAAATCTAAACGGCATAAAAAAGTTAAAAAGCAGCACAATCCTTGCAAAGTTAGGTGGACTAAAGCATTCCGGGAAGCAGCTGGTAAAGAGCTTACAGTGGATAATTCATTTGAATTTGAATAACATAGAAATGAACCTATCAAATCCAGCGAGACCTATGGAATAAAACTATTGATGCAATGAAGAGAGTTGAAGAGATCAAACAGAAACGCCAAGCTAAATGTATAATAAACAGATTAAGGAAAAATAAAGAGCTACAGAAAGTCCAGGATATCCAAGAAGTCAAGCAAAACATCCATCTTACCCGAGTCCCTCTTGAAGGCAAAGAGAAGCAGCTGGAAGAGAAAACAGTACAGCAGTTACAACAGGATGTAGACATGAAGACGCTTCTTAAACATCTCTGTAACCATTTCTTGATGTACATTTGAAAATGTCCTTTGGAGACTTGGAACTGCTAAATTATTGGTTTATTTTTTTATATATGGTCACTTAAATGAAAAGTGATTAAAATATATCTTTCCTACATTACTGTCTTCAAAACATCAGCTATTACGGATGTTAGATTGAATCTTAGTGTAAAATCTACACCGATAGATGTACTCATGTAAATCATGAAACTTCTACCTATAACTATAGAAGTGAATTGTGGACATAAAATGGTTATGCCATTGGGATAATGGCAGTAGGTACTGTTTCCGGAATTGGTGGGTTCTTGGTCTTGCTGACTCGAAGAAAGAAGCCACGGACACTCGCAGTGAGTGTTACAGTTCTTAAAGATGATGTGTCGGGAGTTTGTTCCTTCAGATGTGTCCAGATTTCTTCCTTCAGGTGGGTTTGTGGTCTCGCTGACTTCAGGAGTGAAGCTGCAGACCTGCGCAGTGAGTGCTACAGCTCTCAAAGGCTGCGCGTCTGGAGATGTTTGTTCCTTCTGGTGGGTTCGTGGTCTCGCTGGCCTCAGGACTGAAGCTGCAGACCTTCGTGGTGATTGTTACAGCTCAAAAAAGGAGTGTGGACCCACAGAATGAGCAGCAGCAAGGTTTGCTGCAACGAACAGAAGGACAAAGAACCCACGGTGTGGAATGAGACCCCAGCAGGTCGCCGCTGCTACCTCAGGCAGCCTGCTTTTATTCCCTTATCTGACCCCACCCACATCCTGCTGATTGGTCCATTTTACAGACAGCTGATTGGCCCATTTTACAGAGAGCTGATTGGTCCATTTTGACGGGGTGCTGATTGGTACGTTTACAAACCTTGAGCTAGACACAGAGTGATGATTGGTGCATTTACAATCCTTTAGCCAGACACAAAAGTTCTCCAAGTCCCTACTAGATAAGCTAGACACAGAGCACTGATTGGTGCATTTACAATCCTTTAGCTAGACACAGAGTGCTGATTGGTGCATTTACAATCCTCTATCTAGACATAAAAGTTCTCCAAGTCCCCGCCAGATTAGCTAGATACAGAGTGCTGATTGGTGTATTCACAAACCCTGAGCTAGACACGGAGATCTGATTGGTGCATATACAATCCTCCAGCTAGACATAAAAGTCCTCCAAGTCCCCACCCAACTCAGGAGCCCAGCTGGCTTCGCCTAGTGGATCCCGTGCTGGGGCCATGGGCAGAGCTGCCCGCCAGTCCCACACGGCTTGCCCGCACTCCTCAGCCCTTGGGCAGTCAATGGGACCAGGCACCATGGAGCAGGGGGTGGCGCCCGTTGGGGAGGCTTGGGCCGCGCTGGAGCCCATGGACTGGGGGGGGACTCGGGCATGGCGGGCTGCAAGTCCAGACCCCTGCCCTGCGGGGAGGCAGCTGAGGCCTGGCGAGAATTCAAGCACGGAGCGGGCGGGCGGGCAGTGCTGGGGGACCCGGCGTACCCTCCGCAGCTGCTGGCCCAGGTGCTAAGCCCCTCACTGCCAGCTCAGAGAGGGGCTCCCACAGTGCAGTGGTGAGCTGAAGGGCTCCTCAAGAGTGGCCAGAGTGGACGCGAGGCCAAGGAGGTGCCTAGAGCGAGCGAGGACTGCTAGCACGTTGTCACCTTTCAGTAGCATTTGTATAACAATGAATGGCAAAAATTCATGGCTAGTGATGTATAAATTAAAATATTCTTTGCAGTAAAATATTCCTTTTATTAATGTTATAGAAGAGGGGATACAACAAGGAACTAACAATTTGTATGACAGCGTCAAATATTATTGTGATTTTAGTATTTCCTGTTTTGGTTTATTTGCATCTTAGAAGAGCATAATGACATTGTTTGATGAGGCCTAATTATGCTGGACTGTTTTGACCTGGTTTAACCCTTCTGATAGGTAGATGTGGATGCTGGGGATGAGAACTGAATAATCTTTGCCTGAAATGGCATTACACTCTAGAATTTCCACTTTGGAGAATATTCGGTTCTAACCTGTGATTCCTGGTAGAACAAACTTTATTTTTCTAGCCTAACAATGATCTAGAAGCAGAGGAATCCCAGTGCCTTTTAAAAATTTATTATGTGGTTTTCTTTTAAAAAGCTCCTAATTGTTTTTGGAAAGTAGAATTTATGGGTACAACATCTGTTCATTATTTGGACATAAAATGAAACCATTTTAAAAGTAAAAAAAAAAATCATAAGGTAATAAAGGTAATTGGGGGTAAATGATACGATGGTGTCGTAGGAGCAATGCGATCTGCTAGCTTCTGTTGCTTGGCTCCTCCAAGCAGTCTTGGTTCTCCTTGAGCTTTCATTGTTCAGCTCTTTGTTTCTTCAAAATATCCCCACTGTATTTTCAACACACTCCTCTTTTATTGCTATTAAATGCCTATTAGTCATTGTTTGCCACCAGATAAATTCAATTCAAATGATTAGAATAGCTAGAAATAGCGATTTACTTACCTGGGCAGAATGGTGTTTTACTTACCTGGGTATATTAACCTGGTAGAAAAATTAGGCAATACCAATAGAAGCAAAAAAAAGCACTAACATTTAATGCTTAATCTTTAAAAAAGAAAACTCTTAGTAAACTAAAAATAGAAGGCATTTTCCTTAACTTAAAGATATTTGCCAGAAAACATCATAACTTGACAGTGACATTTAAAGTAACCTCATGAAAGTCGGGATAAGGTAGCTACCTTCTATCAGTCCTACTATTCAACATTGTCCTAGAGGCCCTGGCCAGAGCCTCTAGGTGCCACTAAGATAAGAAAAATCAAGACAGAAACAAAATTATCTGCAATTATTTTAATAACCTTGTAACTAAAGCAATGTCTTCAGAATCATTTAGTACATGATCTTTATCCTAATTACTGAGGGGCAGGTAGGGATAGAGATTATAATTTGGTTTTACAAAAAGAAAAAATGCAGTAGTATTTTACTTGCAAATAAGATTAATTTTGGAGGGAGCAGAAAAGACACCAAGTCTTTCTATGACTGCAAAGCCATGATGGAAAAAAAAAATGGTGAAAGGTAAGTTTCAAATAATTGTTTTCTTTTTGGGGGGCTTCAGAAGAAAGGGATGCAAGACAGCGAAGCTGGTCAATGTGGTCCCAGGTTACCCTTTTGGGCAAGAAAAGAGACAGATATATAAGATAAATGAGGATAAAACTTGAGGACAGAGAGGTCTCGTGTCTCCTGTTTCCCATTTGGGGCTCTGGGTGGAGTCCGATTCATAGATTACCTGTATAAGGCCATTCTCACATTGCTATAAAGACATACCTGAGACTGGGTAATTTATAAAGCAGAGAGGTTTAATTGGCTCATGGCTCTACAGGCTTTATAGAAAGCATGGTGCCAATGTCTGCTCAGCTTCTGGGGAGGCTTCAGGAAGCCTACAATCATGGCAGAAGGTGAAGGGGGAGCGGGCATGTTACATGGCAGAAGCAGGAGCAAGAGAAAGGAGAGGGGGAGGCGCCACACACTTTGAAACAACCAGATCTCGTGAGAACTCACTGTCATGAGGCTTGTACCAAGAGGATGGTACTAAACCATTCAAGAGAAATCTGCTCCCATGATCGAATCACCTCCCACCAGACCCCACCTCCAACATTAGGGGTTATAATTGAACATGAGATATAAATGAGGACACAGATCCAAACCATGTCACTACCCAAAACCATAATGGGATTAAAACACACTAAAGCAAATTGGAGATACATGCAAAGTGAGGTATTGAAATTTAGTTTTCACAGGCCACCATCAATTCCTATCCAGTAGGACACGAGATTCAGAGTCTGGGAACCTGTGACCTGAGAGCAGAGGGTGGGAGGGACCATCAAGCCAGAGGGTTAGGCAGAGAATGAGGCTAAGACTCAGGGGTGCAGCCAGCAAGAACTGAGGGGATTGCATGTTGTTAGGGCAGGGGCAGAGGGACTGGGGCCTGTGGGGAGGGGTGAGTATGACCACTGCATCCAGGAGCATTAATAAATTAAAAAAAAATGAGTTGTAAATTCAGTGTCCAGAGACTACTGTACTGAAGTCCATCAGAGCAAAGATGTCACCACAGAGAAGACAGAATAAGAGTATTACACCCATCCGAATCCTCCTTCTCATCACCACCACTAAGACAGGGCAATTTTCCTCATATACCCAGACCCTATCTTGGTGAAATTAAAAGGGAAGGGGCCAGCTCTCCAAAAAACTGTGCTTTTTTTTTTCCTTTCCCTGGAGAGACTGAGAACACACTAAAGAGACTACTTCAACTGTTAGACTGGAATAAACGACACTGTTTTTTGTTTGTTTGTTTGTTTGTTTGTTTTTGAGACAGAGTCTTGCTCTATTGCTCTGGCTGGAGTGCAATGGCGCATCTCGGCTCACTGCAACATCCACCTCCTGGGTTCAAGAGATTCTCCTGCCTCAGCCTCCCAAGTAGCTGGGATTACAGGAGCCAGCCACCACGTCTGGCTAATTTTTGTATTTTTAGTAGAGGGAGATGGGGTTTCACCATGTTGGCTAGGCTGGTCTCAACCTCAAGTGATCCACCCACCTCGGCCTCCCAAAGGGCTGGAATTTCAGGTGTGAGCCACTGTGCATGGCTGACACTGACTGTTTAATGTTAACATTTAAATGTTTTCGCTGCTAACTAACAAGCCAGGAAACCAGATCAATTCTAGACACAATAAATAAATTACATTTTCTGTCAAAATAAGTGGCAAGATTATATAAAGTTATAAACCTGGGTCAGTCTACCAAAGAACCACAAGATGATCAATTGGAAATTTGTTTTAGAACAAAGAAGAGAATCAAGTAAGGTGGCCAGATAGGTCTACATATAAAAATCAGAAGTTTTACATGAAAAATAACCAATTAGAAATATAATTTTTTAAAAAAAGATCCCATTCATAATACACTCTCCTTATGAGATGTGCCAGATAGTATTTTTAAAAACTATAAAATATTACTTTAGAGTGTGAGAGAAAACCTAAATAAATGAGATATTGCATGATCTTGGGTGCGAAGATTTTATTTTTAATGTCAAATTTCCAAAAGGATTTTTTACTTGAAATTGACAAAATGAGACTAAAGTTTGTTTGGAAGATTAGTCAATAAAATGCACTTCTTCCCCAGAGCAATGACTAGGAATTTCTGTTACCACAGGGAAAGGAGCTACGCACACCATCCAATCCCAGTTGGCTTTCCAGCCCACCTGTCTCGCCCGCCCTCCGGACTCAGCACCTGTCCCTCAGTCCTGCCAAGGCTACGGAGTCAAGCAGATCACAGTGACCTTGGGCAAGGTCAAACTGATAAACCTCTCTGAGCCTCAATTTCCTCATTTGCAAGATAAGGTCACCTAGGTTGCTGGACTAATAATTGAATGAAATATAATTCCGTAATTTCGATGTCTGGTGAGATCTCTTGCAAATAACATGTACTAAATAGATAGATGTAACAGTTGTAATTATTGTTATTACTCTCATTATTACTACTATTATTTGGTCAATATTGTTAGGTCTTGCAATAAAAAAGGATTTACTAAAAATAAGACTAAAAATAGAGCTTGCAAAAGACAAGAGTTGTACATTTAATTATAAAAATTTAAACTTCCTATACAGCAAAGAACATCATAAACAAGGTTAATTCGCAGAAAAATATATCTGTGACACATACAAAACATGAAGTCAACTATCTTAGATATATATTTTTAAGTCATACAAATTAATAGAAAAAAGATAAAATGTAAAGAGAAAAATGGACAAAAGATCTAAAATGGCAGCCAGGTGCGGTGGCTCATGCCTGTAATCCCTCCACTTCGGGAGGCCAAGGTGAATAGATCACTTGAGATCAGGAGTTCAAGATCACCCTAGCCAACATGGTGAAACCCCATCTCTACTAAAAGTACAAGAATTAGCCGGGCGTGGTGGTGGCACATGGCTGTAATCCCAGCTACTTGGGAGGCCGAGGCAGGAGAATCACTTGAATCCCAGAGGTGGAAGTTGCAGTGAACTGAGATCGTGCCCCTGTACTCCATCCTGGGCAACAGAGCAAGACTCCATCTCAAAAAAAAAAAACTAAAATGGCAATTCACAAAAAAATAAATAAATAAAATGAAAAAGGCCAAAGCCAATGAAGATAGCTTTAGTCTCAATAAGACTCAAAGTACAAATAAAAATGATAATCATGTTCACATACATTTGGCAAACATTATAAAAACTTAAACTGGAATATATCCAATTTGCTTTGGGTAGAATATATTTATGTTCTTTGCAATCACTTTCTGGTATAGGTAAGTTTTCCTGCTAAACCTTTTCTGGTGTGGTTGTTTCCCTGGGATACAACTAAGGCCTCTGGGGCAACTCACCCATATCTTGACACAGATACTTTGATACCTGGTCAGTGAGTGTCACCAATTCAGATCACTTAAGAACAGTCATTGAACAAGAAAATTGAAAGTCTCTGAAATCTTACTGCTCATATATGAAAAAAATTTTATATAATTCTAAAAAACATTTTAATAATTCTAAAAAATTTGCAAAACATTGCCAAGAATGAGCTGTGAATCTGAAACAACATTTTCTAAACTATTAATGTGACTTTAAAACTTTAAAATTAGACATGCCACAGGAAAGACTAGATTATCTTTCTATTCTCTCTATAAAAATACTAGAAAATTGTCCTACAAAGAGGTAATCATAGAGAATACAGATTAAAAATACGGGAAAGAAATATTATAGGTGTATCAGGCATTCAATAGTCATGTCGCTGAATATTTGAATATCATCTCTGAATACTAGGACAGGAAAATATGGAGAGGGGAACTCAAACAGTGCTGCTTTGGGCAAGGAGGTTCAGTCCTCTTTTTCCTAATCTGACTATTTTTCCACCCACATTTTGAGTGCTAACATTTAGACTGCCGTGACTAGCAAATAGTTCCATGATAAAGGAGCCAAGAACCCAGGTTCTTTGTCTTGGTTTTACATGAGAGGGGCAAGAGGGAACCTCAGACCTCCTCGGCCTAAAAGAACACCAAGAACACAGGGCCAGCTACCTAAGCAGGTAAAGAGTATACATTCCCTGTGAATGTCACCTTGGCATTGGGCCCTTTGCATTCAGGAATCCAATTATATGAATGCTCAGTACATCTTAACATATTTAGTAGTCCTGAAGGCCATTCCTCTAGAATAAGAAACAGAAATTGAGCTGCTATTTCAGTTTAGCCTAGTCTTTGGCCAGGAAGTTCAGCCAAATCACTTTGGAAGCCATGACAGTTTGTCACTGGAGATGCAGGACATCAAAGAGAGCTCACTTACAACACATCAGAGTGAAAATGCTATTTGCTGCCCAACTGCCAGCAGAGGAGGTGCATTTGAGACTTTAACAGGATTGGAAGAGAAGCTTGCCACACACAATTTATCTTTTCCAATTGTCTTCACTGTTTTTTTCCACAGCTAAGAGACAAGTACCCAGCCTCTACAAACCCGTTGTAGCTCAACAAATAACATATAAACCAGCAAGGCAGACAGTCCATTTCATTTCCAGGTTATCTGAGGATGCCCATATTTTTGTATGTGGGATGAATAGAGGAGGATATGATGTTTTAGAACTTTTTATTTTGAAATAATTATAGACTTATAGGAAGTTGCAAAAATAGTACACGGAGTCTCATGCCTTCTTCATCCGACGTCCCCTAATAGTGACGTTGCAAATAACTGTAGTATAATTAGGATTGCCAGATAAAATGTAAGATATACAGTTAAATTTGAATTTCAGATAACAAATAACTATTCATTAGAAATGTTTCCTGATATTCCTTGTTGTTTATCTGAAGCTAAATTTAACTAGGTGTGCTGTATTTTTATTTGCTGAACCTGGCAACCCTAAGAGGTGTAAAATGTAAAAATGAGGAAATTGACATTGGTACAGTATTGGTAACAAGACTACAGATCTCATTCAGTTTTCATCATTTTTACATTCGTTCATTTATATAGTTATATACAGTTGTGTGATTTTTTTAAAATTTCGAAAACAAAAACAAAAGGTCTGAGAACTTTGCAATGCAGAGCCCACCACAGCCATGCCTAATCACTGCCCGATTTGCCATGGAACTGATGATTCACTCAAGCCTGGCCAAAGTTATAGGCTATGAGCAGCAGAACTGGTGGGAACCAACAGATTTGGGGTTTGCTCTAGCCTAAAGAACTCAATTAGCTTTCCACTGCCTGAGGAAGGTCATCCACTTGAATGTCCTTTGTTTTTATTATCCCTAGACCGTAATTTCCTGCGTGAATGGCCACTTTCATGCTTTGTAACAAGAGGATGAGTCAAATTCCTTTGCTTGGGCTATAATTTATAATCTGCAACCCACAATTCGATATTCAATCTCTTCGTTTTCTTTGTGAACAGTGGTGCTAAAAATAAGAAAAGAAAGTCCTGTGGAGAAAACAAATCCAACCTCACACTGTCTAAGCCATGCTAACCAGGCGGCTTTCGTCAAGGACCCATGGTCAGAGGCACCATGGGCATCCGCTGTCAGAATCACCAGACGAAGCCAGGAAAGGATTTGCTCCATTGTGAGACACATCCCCCCAGCCCCATGACCTCTGCCAGGCTATTTCAGCCACCTAAGCCTCTCAGAAAGAGCATACTTTAAATGTAAGTGGTGTTGCTTGCCTCTTAAAGAGTTAAAGAAAGAAGATTTTTATTAAAGATATACAACACCAGCCAGGCATGGTGGCTCACGCCCATAATCCCAGCACTTTGGGAGGCCAAAGTGGGCGGATCACCTGAGGTCGGGAGTTCAAGATCAGCCTGACCAACATGAAGAAACCCTGTCTCTACTAAAAATACAAAATTAGCTGGGTGTGGTGGCACATGCCTGTAATCCCAGCTACTCGGGAGACCGGGGCAGGAGAATCACTTGAACCCAGAGGCGGTGGTTGCAGTGAGCCTAGATCGCACCATTTCACTCCAGCCTGGGCACCAAGAGCAAAACTCTGTCTCAAAAAAAAAAAAAGAAAAAAAAGATACACAACACCAAAATAGTATCCCGAGACACAAGAGAATAAATCTGCAGGAACGTTGATTCATCTGTAGCTGGGGAGACCAGAGAAATCTTCTGGGGGACCTGTACCTAGATCCTTCTCCTATGTGGAGAAGACTCCTTAGAGTTATCCCCCAAACTGCTACAACCCAATGATCAACTTTTCCTAGGTTCCCATTGAAAAGGGAGGAAAATGAGAATTCAGTGATGTGTTTTTCATAGTTAACTATTTCAATTTAAAGGAGTGACTTTTATTCTAAGTTATGTTCTTTCTGTTTTTTAGTAACAAAATGTCCTGTCTGTTATAAAACGATAGTAAGATTTTCTGTTCTTTGTTGTTCTTTGGCAAATAAAATGTTGATGTGTCTGTCATTTATAGCCACAATAATTCTATGAAACACACTACCTCCAAAGCTCAATGTCATATAAAAATAAGCATGTGTTTCTTGGGCATGTCTAAGATTGGCTGGGACAGCCTTTTACCACGTGTGTCTCAATATCCTGGGTCCACTGTGCTATCTGTGCATCCTGTCCCCATGACAGTGGCAGAGAGATAAACAGCCAGCCTAAACATCCCATTGATCACAGCTAATGACATGGTTGAGCCCAAAGTCAAGGGATGGAGAAATACACTCCACCCTTTATGGGGCTAAGACTGTGAAAGTATAGCAACGCTACAGGGGTGGGGAATGCTGTTGCGGCTAATAGTCCAGTCTATCACATGTCGGTAATTATATCAGCTCCCATTTTCTCTTGGTATTTGCTGACCCAGAGAAAGACAGCCATTTGAGCATCACAGCTTCAAAGGATATCTTTGGCCATAGGAATAAAAACCTAACCTAATAAAGAGTAGTTTAGAAAAACCAGAAGTAGGAGCCATGAGATTGGAATTTATCATCAGCAATACTATGGGCCCTCATTAGGCGGTGACTGTCTCAGCTGTGAGTGTTCTGTGCTTGCATCTCTCTTTTTGCAAAATATGATCATCTGGAGGCAATCTACAATGACTGTACTGCATCTGTCACATTTTTAAGGCATCTTTGATATAGTGGTTAGGTGTTTCGTTTTGTTGGAACCATGGGAATCAAATTTACTATGCAGAATTCTGTGTGAGATCATAGATCATAGATTAATTCACCTGCCCAGCCTTCTCTGCACACCTGCAGTGGATCTCATTTCCATCCAAGGACTTTAATATTATTAGTTCATTATTAATTCATCATCCAAATTGCCACTTTATGACAGATGATACGCCAACTTTTTTTTTCTTTTTTGAGATGGAGTCTCACCGTGTCGCCCAGGCTGGAGTGCAGTGGCGTGATCTCAGCTCACTGCAACCTCCACCTCCTGGGTTCAAGTAATTCTCCTGCCTCACCCTCTCAAGTAGCTGGGACTACAGGCACGTGCTACCATGCCTGGCTAATTTTTGTATTTTTTAGTAGAGACAGGGTTTCACCATATTGGCCAGGCTGGTCTCAAACTCCTGACCTCGTGATCCACACGCCTCGGCCTCCCAGAGTGCTGGGATTACAGGCATAAGCCACTGCACCCGGCTGATACTCCAACTGTTTTTGAGCTTGTTCGGGTTCAATTTTGTCAATGAAATGCTCAGCGCTTTGTTTATGTTTTTAATTTTTTTTAATTAAAAAAATACCCTGGAAATCATCACCATGGCCTTGAGTCAGAAAGTTTAATAAACAAACATTGACAATTCCAACCGACAGTTAAAACATCTTGAAAATTACCTGCTCACTTACACTATCATCCCAGCAGAATGAGGGTATCTGTAATAGTCAACAAAGACAAATGGCTTAAACTTTGTTCCGGGTCCTGTCTCTGACTTGTGGCGCTAGAGTGGGCATGTTGCTTAATTTCTATGTCTCTCTGGTTCTACATTTACAAACTGGGGGTGGCGATGGGATTGAAATCTGTGTTTGCACATGTTTTGAAGCTCTTTGGAAGAAAAATTATACAAACCTGGAAAGCATCTTATAGTCCTAGGAAGAATGTTGCTCAAGTCTTAGCACAAAGCCAGGGGAGAACAGCTGCCTCTCAGCAGAGATCTAAATATCTTGCTTCTCCTTTCTCAGAAGAAAACACTGAACATGCAGCCACCTGTTTCCTGGCCAGGATGCTGGGTGCAATTGCACACAAGGGAGAAAAAGGCCTTTTGTTTTCTAACCAGCTGCATTTGCCGGCAGGTCTGTTGGAGTTCTACAAAACAGCGTGTGTCACGTTCTATAAAACAGCGTGTGTCACACAGCTTGGTGCTGCATGGCTGGACTCCCTGGTTTCTCTATTTTAGAACATCCAGGGGTTTGTGTCCCCTTTAAGAAAAGGTCATTTGGACATAATAACATTTGCCACCTTCACCAAGGCTCAATTCAAAGAGGAGTTGGCTCAGTTTGCATCAAACAATAAAAGACCTTTGTGGGACTAGGAGGGAGATGGAGAGAGGAGGAGGCAGAGTGGAAGGGAGTGGGGAGCCCTATCCTGGTAAGTTTCTGGGCACTAGAGGTTTTGTTCTGTTTTTCTTCATAAACAGGTGAACTGATTTCCTCTTATCAGGTAGAACATCATTTAAATATCAAGTCGCTCAGGGTGCTCAGGTGAAGAGGCTGGTGATGCTCCAGCCCAGATGCCTAGTCTTCGAGGAGAGCAGAAATGGCACCTTCTCCCAAGAAAGATGAACAGGAGGGAGTGGAAAGTCTCCAGCCTCACAAAAGACAGAAAAGCAGCAGCAGCAAGTGCATCACAATTCTGGAATCTGGGAAATAGACACGGGAATGGTAAATGCCTTTCTCGTGGTCATGCAGAAGCTGAATCCCAGCCAGCAGAGGCCCAAGCCAAGAAGCCACAGGACTGATGTCATGTGGGCTCCTGCGTCTCGGGAATCACAGGCTTGGAGTATGCCTAGAAGTCTTTGCCTAAAGAAGACTGGGCACACGTGTTTCAGCAAAACTCTAGAACCACAGATATTTTACTCAAGCCCTGTTAGCCAAACTATTGCCCCTATCTGAACCCCGAAAGCAGACTGGATGTTATTCTCTGAGAGTATCAAACAGAGAGTCTGTTGGATTAGAAACACCCAGGTGTGGTGTAAGCCAGGACTGTGCCAAGGAACACAGGTGGTTTAAGCAAACAATTTGTCTATTCTACTTTGAAAATCTCCCTCAACACGATCCCTTACCTCAGGGCTTTCCTCGCCCTTTCTAACAGCATGGAGCTGAATGGGTATCTTTCAGACAAGATATTAGAAGAGCCTTCTCTTAAATGAAACAATTAAGATATACCAAGATTGAGAATTCCCTAAGGAAACAGACTCCCCGCCTCCCAGCCCATCCTACTATGTGCCTGCAAATGGGCAAACCTCCCCCACCTGCATCAGCTTTTTAGTGTGACAATTTTAAAACATATGAACACGCAGGGAGGCTCACCAGATGCTGAAATATAATTTGTAATTAAAAAAAAGCAGGAGTCACAATATATCAAGAGTAAAAAGGAAATTTGGAGAAAGCAAATACTCAGGGGGATTTAAAAAAAAAATCTTGCAAACAATTGTTTTTCCATAAACCACTAGGGAAAAGGTAGATTGTTTGGTAGATTGTATTGGAAAAACTAGTTTACCATTTTGAGAATTTGAAGTTGGATCACTGCCTAATGCTACAAATAAAGGGAGATGCTAGAAGAATTAAAGGCCTAAAATTGAAAAGTAAAGCTATAAAGTTGATATAATGAAACATAAAAGACTACTCCCATGACTTAGGAGCAGGGAGAAACTTCTTTACACAAAATTCAGAAACAATACCTTGAACAAAACATGAAATAAATTGATAACATCCAATATAGGAATTTCTGTTTAATGGAGGGTGCTAAGGACGGTGACCATGGGAGGAGATATTTTCAATTTCTAAAATCAGTAATGGTGTCTAGAATATAAAGGGAACTCCTTCAAATGAGCAAGAAGAGACCAGAAACCCCCTACACCCTCTCTCCTACTCAATGATATCTCTGTAGCAAGGAAACACTTTCCCTCCTGTGCCGTCAATATCACCTTCATTATGGATCATTATCAGCAGATGCACATCCTCTCATTTATTCCTATTTTAAAACACCCCTTCTTGACCCCACTTCAACTCAATATTTCTACTTCCCGGCCAGGCGTGGTGGCTCACGCCTGTAATCCCAGCACTTTGGGAGGCCGAGGTGGGCAGATCACAAGGTCAGGAGTTCGAGACCAGCCTGGCCAATATGATGAAACCCCGTCTCTACTAAAAATACAAAAATTAGCCAGGCGTGGTGGTGTGTGCCTGTAATCCCAGCTACTCAGGAGGTTGAGGCGGGGGAATCGCTTGAACCCGGGAGGCGGAGGTTGCAGTGGGCCAAGATTGTACCACTGTACTCCAGCCTGGGTGACAGAGTGAGACTCCATCTTAAAAAAAAAAAATTCTACTTCCTTTCACAAAAACACCCCTCAAAATAGCTGTCCACACTCCATGTTTTCAACTGCTCTCATTCCCTTCTTAAATTCTTACCATGTAACATTTGATTAATGCAAGAGGATATCTGTAAATTATGAAGCATAATAATAAAATGAACACCAATGAAGCTTCTACTCCACTTAAAAACTGGAACATCACCAATTTCATTGCATTAACCTGTATGTTCCTTCTCTACCCCATCACTCTGCCTTTTCTTCTCCGAATGATAAAGCCACTATCTTATATTTTGTGTTTATCATTCCTTTCCATTTTATAAAGTTTTTATCCCACCTATCTGTATTCCTAAACAATACACATTAAAATTGAGGGGGCTCAGGTTTTGTTCGTTTTTCCTCCATGCTTTGAAGTCATTTTGTATTCAACATGTCCAGAAATTCCTAACCTTTTCCTTCACACTTCCCCCAGTCTCCTCAATCTTGCAACATCATCCTTCTAGCTGCTCAGACAGAATTAATTTTTTCACTTATGACTCCTCTATCTTGTAAAACATATCCATATCAGTAAGTCCTGTGGGTTCTCACTTCAAAATATACTCAGGATCCAACCACGCCTCATTGCCACTGCTTTCGCCCAGGTTCAAGCCACCATCATCTCTCATCTGGATTATTGAAAGTTCCACTGATGTGCACGCCTGCTTCACCCTTTCCCTTGCCCCCGCATTCACCTATAGTTTACTCTCCGCACAGCAACCAGAGTGATTATCTGGAACTCCGTGTCAGAGCACCTTAACCCTTCAACTCAGCACTCTGCAGCGGCTTCTATCTCAGGCAGAGTAGGAATCTACAAGGCCCTACGTCACACCCTGGACAGTCCCCACATCCCACACACAACTCTCCTGCTGTTTCCTTAGGGTCGCTCCCTCTAACCATCTGGCTCCTTGAACAAGCCAGTGCACTGCTGTCTCCAGGCCTTTCTTTGCTCATGCTGTTTTTCGTCTTACTTGGGAGGCCTTTTTCCTTGCACATGCCCTCTTCCTCAATGGCTCTCTCTCTCACCTCCTTCTCTTCTTAAATATCATCTTATCAGGGAGACCTCCTCCACTGCTCTGTTTAAAATAGTACTCTTATGCCCACCAGCACACTCTATCCCATTCTCCAGCTTTATTCTTCTCCATAAACACTTATCACATTCTGACATACTGTAACTTTTGCTTGTTTCTTTGTTTATTGCCTAGCTTCCCGCACTACACTATAAGCTCCTTGAAGGCAAGGGTTTTTGTCTATATCGTTTAGTGCTCTATCCCCAGCAATGCCTAGAAAATACTAGGTTCAACAAAGATTTATTGAATGAATGAATGGATGTAAATAATCTCCTCACTTCCTCACTTTTGCCCGCTACCAGTATCCCATCCCCAACTGCATAACATAGCTCCTCTTACCTATCCCTAAACAAACTCCAGCTCAAATCAAAATTATGCCCATGACAGAGCCCCAGGGACTTTTAGGTGGTAATTACAGGCTTTCTCTCTCTGCCTTTCCTCAGAGCCACAGGAGACGTGCTCCAAATTTTTGCCTCTTTCTCCTTAACATCCCTGAAGGCTGAGTCATAGCACTGGAAGCTTTAGAATGTGTTCTTGCACACTGAAGGTAAAACACTATTTCTCCAAAAGTCATTACCTATTTGTCTTCCATCACTGACATAGGCCATTGTTGATTATAAGGATATTAAAGCCTGAAGCCTAAAGGCCTATGGGTGAAACATTCAATTTTTCAGTGTTATTTTGTTATTTTAAGAGCCTGTGTGACAGACATATTTAGGCTTAATAGTACCCTTAGGAAAATAAAAAGGAAAAGGCAAGATTCTATTTACTGTATATCCTTCCTCTTTCTTGGAAAATCTCACATTACATCGGAAAAACCTAAATTACATGAAGTTTACAAAATTGATTGCCTCATGAATAAACGGATTTATTATTTAAGATGCTGAGGAGCACATTTCATTATTCAGTATCCTTGGAACAAAATATTTGAAATGTGGGATGAAAAATTTTCAAGCTGCTTCGCTAAATGAGGTAGACCAAAAAGAACATCCACACATTAACATAAAACATTCATCAGGAGATCAGCTGGCAATGTGATGAAGAGAAATGGCTACATTTTTTAATTTCTAATCAGTCCCATTAAATGTGTGGCTTGTGGCCACTTTTACTGTACTGTACTGTGGAACTCACCTCAGATCATGAAGCCTGTATTTAAAGATTTTATAAACTATCCACTAGAAGGAACTAGAACCTTCTAAAATGATGAGGAAGATATGCATGACCAAACACCTTAAAAACCAATTAGTTTCATTACCTGTTTGGTTCAAGCATTGAAGTTCAATATTTCTGTAACCCACAAGCTTTCCACAAATACAGCAACCGAGAAACACTGTTTCAATTTTTAACGGTCTTGCCCAGTTCATATTTCCTGGCTTATCTCTGAACTCCCCTCATCTCCTCTCCCTAAGTCTGTTTATGATGTGCTGTTTTATCAAGGTCAAATTCCATGGGCAAGTCATCGGCTTCATCATTTGTCTCATAACATTTTCAATAAATGTTAGACCCTCAGGGTCTTTAAGACAATGTGAGATACATATATATATACATCTATGTTTACTTTAGAGAAAAACAGCAGGGGTTTCACATCTCACTGATTTTAGAACTAAGTATAGTGAAGGGAAAAAAGCTTAAAATAGGATTTTCAATCTGGAAGGAACATTTTGATTTTTCCAGCTAACTCCTTCCTTTGATAAATAAACTCAGAGAGGTAAAGTGATTTTCTTAATGTCAAACAGCCAGTTCGTTGCTGCACTAGAATTGGAACTGAGATATTTGACTTCCAGTCCTGGTTTTTATCATCATTTTTTGAAGTGGTGATCTGCATAATTTACCAATGTCTTCCTTATCCCCACATTAAGTTAGGCATCAAATCTTCAATGTATTTATTTTCTGGTCTTTCCTCCCCAGTGCTGGCACCACTGCCTGCTCCAGCCCCTCACTGTCTCCTTCTGGATACTGCGGGGTCCCTCTGCCCAGCTGTCCTGCCACAGACCCCCTCATACCAGCTGCTTCTCCATGAGGCTGCGAAATTACTCCAGCTAAAAGAACAACTCAGATCACAACTGCTTAAAAACTTCATTCGGCTTCCTATTGTCTCTAAAATCAAGTCCAAGCTCTTTGCCCTCTTTTACAATGTTCTTTGCAATTGTCTGGATCTCCAGCTCCCCCATGCCATCTCCACAAACTCTACTTTAGTCTTAGGGAGTATTTCATGTTCCTTTCCCCTGCCCACCATGGTTTTTGACATTCCTTGTTGAATTAGTCCGTTCTCACACTCCTATGAAGAAATACCTGAGGCTGGGTAATTTATAAAGAAAAGAGGTTTCACTGACTCACATTCCACATGGCTGGGAAGGCCTCAGGAAACTTACAATCACGACAGAAGGCACTTCTTCACAGGGCAGCAGAAAAGAATGAGTACAAGCAGGGGAAATGCCAGATGCTTATAAAACCATCAGATCTCATGAGAATTCACTCACTATCATGACAACAGCATGAGAGAAACCGCCATGATTCAATTACCTCCCACTGGGTCCCTCCCATGACATGTGGGGATTACGGGAATTATAATTCAAGATGAGATTTGGGTGGGGACACAGCCAAACCATATCACTTATCTATCTGGAAATACATCCTGTTTGTTTGATTACTGGGAAATCCCTAGTCATCCTTAAACAGCCATTCACTTCCTCTTAGCTTTTGTAACACTTTGGGAAAGTGTCAAGCCCACCTTGGTTCCTTCAATAATCTCTGCTGGTCCCCAGTCCCTCTCTCCAGCATGACTTGCTGGGCCACGCCTAACTTGCCCTGCCCACTGCATTAGCTCAGACCTGGCTCTGCCTCCTAGGGTGATTTTGCCTGTTCAAGACTCAGAATGTTTGGTTTCTTGATTCTCATGGCAATCTTTTTTCTTAACACTGGGTCTCTATAAATAATCATGTGTTATGACCTCCCTTGTTATCCATCCAAGACCCTGGCCATTTGCACCCAACAATGACTTCTCACACTAGGAATGTGCTCCCAAAGGCAGCTCACAGCAGGCCTGACCCATTGACCCAGGAGGATAGACAGTAAAAAGATTTATGTAGAACTTCTCATTCTGCAATGATGCAAAGTGCTTGCATGTTTGTCTACCTCTTTAAACAGTGAATTACTTAAGGTCAGAGACTATGTCTTCTTAATCTTTAAATGCCAATGTCTAAAACAGTGCCTGACATATAGCAAGCATTCAATAAATATATGAATGGGTGCAAGTGATAATGGTAACAATAAAGCCCAGTGAAGTGAACAGAAAGTTAGATGGGAAGTCATTACATTCCTGGACCAAAGAAGTTCATTCTGAAGAATAAATGGTGTAATATTATGATTTAGATAATAGAAATCAGATTCAGATACTAATTTATTTTATTATAATAAAATGCAATACAGTTGACCCTTGAACAAGAGGTTAGAGACACCAGCTCCCTGTGCAGGTGAAAATCCATGTATAACTTTTGACTCCCCAAAAGCTTAGTTACTGATCGCCTACTGTTGACTAGAAGCCTGACTCGTAACATAGTCAAGTAATACACATTTTATATGTTATGTGTATTATATACTGTACTCTAACAAAAAGTAAGCTGAAGAAAGGAATATGTTATTAAGAAAATCGGAGGGAAGTGAATATATATTTACTGGTTATTAAGAGGAAGTGGATCATCATAAAGGTCTTCATCTTCATTATCTTCACATTGAGTAGACTGAAGAGAAAGAGATGGGGTTGGTCTTGCTGTCTCAGGGATGGCAGAGGCAGAACAAAATCTACGTGCTAGTGGACCTACACAGTTCTAGCCCACGTTGTTCAAGGATCAACTGTAATTACAAGAGTAGACCATTGAGTTACATGCTCATTTCATCTGTCTGCATCAGCTAGGTTTTGCCGTGGTGACTAACAACCCCAAACCTCAGTGGCTTAAAGCAACAAAGATTTCCCATTCATTTTGCATGCCTCATGCGGGTGGATAAGGGAGCTCTGTTTATCAGAGTCACTCTGGGACTCAGTCTGATGAAGGCTTTATCTTAAAAAGTGTTTTCATGATGGCTGGAAAGTCGTGGACCAATGATTTCCACCCAAACCCATTTGCTAGAACCAGTTCCATGACTATGACTCACTTCAAAGAGACATGAAAAACAATCCTAATGCACTGAAAGGAAAGGGAAGCTGGATAGCAGTGAAGCGGTCATGTCTACCACATTCCACCCCACGGGTCACTACATACTCAGTTCTTCCTTCCCCGTGCAGAGCACACTTGCCCTGTCACATCTCTGCTCCAGCACTGCACAGTGGGTAAATGTGTGTTGGTGGTAGGGGAGGGAGTGAGAGCCTATCTTTTCAGCTCATACGTTTCTAGTTCAAGAGGAATTACATCTGACCTGACGTAGAAACAAATGTTTATTACCCACTTGTGTTAGTTTCTTAGGGCTGCTGTGACAAAGCACCACAAACTGAGTGGCTCAAAACAACAGATATGTATTGTCTCACTGTTCTGGACACCAGACAGCTGAAATCAAGGGTCAGCAGGGCCACATGCTCTCTGAAGCTTAGAGGGATAATCCTCCTTTCTCCCTCCCTGGCTCTGATGGTTTTCCAGTGAGCCTCAGCATTCCTTGGCTTGCAGCCCCAGCACTTTAATCTCTGCTTTTATTGTCACATGACATTCTTCCTTTGCATCTATCTCTTCTACTCTTCTTATAAGGACACCAGTCATTGGATTAAGACCACCCGAATTCAGTATGGCCTCATCACAACTTGATTACATCTGCACAGACCTTATTTCCAAACAAGGTCACATTCACAGGCACCAGGGATTAGGATTTCAACATATCTTTTTACTGGACACAATTCAACTGATAACACCTTCCACCTTCCGCTCCCTAATATAACCCCTCATATAGGCACTGTTGCCTGTCACCCAGAAATCATGAATTTTGAGCTCTGTGCCATGACTGGACAAGACTTTTGTGTTGATTCCCTTAGGAAGGATATTTATGTATTCTGTATGAGTGAAGGAGATTGAGCCAAATATTTGGTGTCTAGATGGCGGGCTACGGTAGATATTAGAGATCCCCACCAATATTACCAGTTGTCTTCCATCCAGTCAAACAATAAGAATAGAACTCCCTGCTCCCATGAAACTAGATGTGACTATGAAACTTGCTTTAAGCCAATGTAATGTGAACAGAAGTGATACATTTTATTTCTGGATACTAAAATTTAAGAAGCAAGGTATAATTTTCCACTTTTTCTTTATCTTCCATGTTGGCAAGTAACTTTCCAGATTGTGAAAATTATGTAATAAAAGTCCTTATGTGAAGACAGCATTAAGAATCCTGCCAAACTGACTTGTACTGAACATGTAGCATGAGTAATAAATGAATCCTGATAACAGTAAGACATTGAGTTGTACATGTATACACCCTATGACACAGCAGTTTCATGCATACATCAGAAAGATTCTTGCACATGTTCATTAAGGAAACATGCACAAGTATTTTAGTTAATAATATTATTTGCAGCAATAAATGGCAATCAGCTCAAATGCTCACCAATTGTAGGTTGAAATAAATAAATAACTTTTATATACATAAACTGAACAACATACAGCAATGAAAATGAATGGATTATAAACACAAATATCAATATGGATAATTTTTAAAACATCATATTAAGCAGTTATAGAAAATCTACATAGGTTTGATTGCAATTCTATAATTCAGTCAGAATTAATCGACATATTGCATAGGGATATAAAAATGTATAGTAATAACAGTGGAAAACACCAGGGAACAAAATTCAGCTAATTACTACCTCTGGTGGATATGAAGTATAATGCAATTGAAGAATGCACACAGAGAGCTCCTACAGTATAATTCATTTTCTAACATTGTTTGCAGGCACATGATATTTGTTTTATTATTGGTCTTCAAACCCCACATATATGCTTTTATGTACTTTTTGCAATCTATACTTCACAACTGTTAAAAATAAAGCAAATCTTAAGTAAAAATATATGTTTTATATATATAAGAATATATATTATATATATTCTTATATATAAAAATATATATTATATATATTCTTATATATAATTATATATAATATATATTTAAATATAAATATATAATAAATATAAATATATATTTTATATAATATATTTTATGTATTTATATATAATATATTATATATAATATATATTTTATATTATATTATGTATATTATATTATATATATTATATTATATTATATATATTTTATATATTATATATAAATTTTATATATAATATATAAAGCGCATTATAGAATGCCCTTGTAGAAGTTGATCTATAGAAGTTAATTTATACAAGTTAACTTCTAGCAATGTTAATTCGTGGTTAAGGAAGTAATTCCATGGTTATTTTTTCCGTAAAATGAAGTATAATTTTTTTGCATAAATACTTATTTTCTCACATCTAACTCTCTGCATCTCTCAGCTTTATTAAAGCAGGGCTGGCCTTTCACTTTTTAAATTTTTGTCCCTTTCCCTTTATGGGATTAAGGAGGAAAAATAGAAAATCACAAATATATGAAGGCCTCTTTTGGGAAAGGGGGATTGTCTTCCCATGCTAGTGAAGCAGCTACTCGATCAGCATATTTCCATTTTGTATCTTTATATGTTTTTATTATTTTAATGGTTTTTCTTTAAAATGTTTACCATAAATACTTCCTTGTAGCAAGATAAAAATTAATATCTAACCACTTTCCACAATAATATTTTAGAACTTTTTAATTCTCATATCTTTCCTGTTGAATTTTAATTATCATATCCTCCCCTGCTCTTTTTAAGAATATTGGTTCATTCCATTTTTAAACTCTATAAATTATCTTAACAATGCTAGTATAGATTTACTTACAGGTTTGACAATTCCTTTGCACCCATACTCCTTGGATCTCAGAAAATTCTTCCTCAGATCCTTTGATTTCTTCCTAAAGCATCATTTGGAATTTCCTTTAGTGAGAGTCTGTCGGTGGTAAACTCATATTTTTCTATTTTTGAAAATGTTTTCATTTTGCACTAGGTCCTAAAAGAGATTTCCCGGGCTTGTAATTCGAGATTAGTAGTTATTTTCACTCAGCACACTGAAGATATTAATCCATTCTTTTCAAGATTCCGTTGTTACTGTGCAGAACACCTCTAGCAATCTATTTCCATCATCTGTCTTGTCTCCCCATCTGCTTTTATGCTCTTCCGTTTGTCTTTGGTGTTTCATTATAAATCATGAGTTTTTCTTTATTTATTCTCCTGTGTGCATATTGTTGTGGAAATTTTTCAGCTATTGACGTTTCAGATTTTGCCGTTCTGTCATTCTCGCTATTTCCTCCTTTGATGAGATGCCTGTTAGATATTCCCACTCTGTCCTCCATAGCTCTTAACCTCTTTTTTTAGACAGTGCCTCCCTCTGTTGCTTAGGCTGGAGTGCACTGACATGATCTCGGCTCACTGCAGCCTCCACCTCCTAGGTTCAAGCGATTCCTGTGCCTCGGCCTCCTGAGGAGTTGGGACTACAGGCACGTGCCACCATGCCTGGCTAATTTGTGTGTGTGTGTGTGTGTGTGTGTGTGTGTGTGTGTATTTTTAGTAGAGATGGGGTTTCACCATGTTGGCCAGGCTGGTCTCAAAATCCTGACCTCAAGTGATCCACCAGCCTTGGCCTCCCAAAGTGCTGGGATTACAGGCATGAGCCATGTACTTGGCCAACCTCTGTTTCATATTTGTATTTCTTTTTCTCTCCCTGCTGCATTCTGGGTAAGTCCTTCAGAGCTCTCTTTTATTTCATTGATTATTTTTTGGCTGTATCTAATCTAATAATTGAATGTCTTACTTCAACAATTATATTTTTATTTTAAAATTTTTACATTTTATTTTTCCAATCCACCTCCTCATTTTGTAAAGCCTTTTGTTTCTTGCTTATTTTCATAATGCAATCTTGTATTTCTTTAGATATTTTATACATAATTAACTTATATTCTGTATTTGTTAGTCCAATATCCAAAGTCTTTGAGACCTAAATGTTTTATGTTCTTCTTAACGCTGTTTCCCTGTGTGTTTGTTGATGAATGACTGTGAGGTAGTATTTGGTTGATTTTGTCCATGGAAACCTTAGAGGCCTTCTCTCCAAAAGGATCTGTGTTTTCTTCTGCCCAGGCTCTGGGAGAGCATCACTGAGTTATAATCATTTCAGCTTCCTTCTAAGGTTTCAGGGTTAATGTGGAATTCTCTATCTTAGCTCCCCTGTTTTGCTGCTGGCCCAAAGATTAGACTCCTAGTCACAGGGATGACATTGAAATTATCCCTAAAATAATTCATCATTTAAGCCGGGCATGGTGACATGCACCTGTGATCTCAGCTACCCCAGAGGCGGAGGCAGGAGGACCACTTGAGCTCAGGAGCTTGAAGCTTATAATATGCTATGATTCTTCCTGTGAATAGTGACTGTATTCCAGCCTGGGCAATATAGTGAGATCCCATATCTTTCTAAAAAATTTTATTTTTGTTTATTGCTTATATCTTCTTTCTCTAGTTAACTCATTTTTTGGTGGGGAAAGTACGGAACTTTAGAGATGTCTTTAATTTCTTGTAAGCCCTGAAATGAATTAAAAATTGTGGGTTTCGTTTTTGTTTTCTGTTTGTTGTTGTTGTTAGCCCAACAGCTCTCCACAGCAGAGTTTATTCCACTATACTGCTCTCCAAATGTGTTCGGTTTGACTTACTTTTCAACTCTGAAAAATAAAAGGGAAAGCTAGTTTATTTTGCTTAACTTGCAAGTATGAGAAAAGCTCATAAATTTCTTGAGTTTTATACCCAAGAGTATAAAATCCAACATTATTGGATTTTTCAGGGGCTATTTAATACCTGCCCTTTGAGCACTAAGATAATCTGAGGGCTGGGCACTTTTCCTGGGGACACAGGATTAGCAGTGATCTGAGCCCCATTAATGTTGGAAAAACTTAACATACTAATGTGGTTTAAAATCACAATTTCTAACATTATGACTACCTATTTTTCTGTCATCACTCACAGATATTCAGACCTTAAACAATAAAAGGTATAGAACTTTTCTTGCCTGCCCTCCCTCCTGTAATTATGCTTTCCAACATCACTTTGGCAAACCCAAATTATAACGAGATGGCAAAAATCTTGAGAGTTCAAACACTATATTAGGCTTGAGGTTCAAGAGATTTTTCTAACTGAGGAAAAAGGACAGCTTCTCTGATTAGCTGTGTGTGTTATATTTATTAACTTGCAAGTCCTCCAGAGCCTTTCCTTGACTTTGAAGAGCATGGAGCGTGGAGTCTGCTCCTCCTCTGAGCGTGAGTGAATTTTCTGGAGTGCTTCAGTCCTACCAGATGTACTCCAGTCTTCACTCCACATCACTTTCAGAGCCACTTACTCTGTCCCTGTTCCCTAAGTTAAAATCTTTCCTGTGTTCCATGACCATTTAGAGAGACACTCAATTCACAGCGCTGTTTGGTGGCGTTAGCTGCTATTACCAAGGGCAGCATAAGATTTCAAAGATTTAGTGGCATGTTCAGGGCTGATGCCAGAAAAGTTTTTGGAGTAGCTCAAGTTTGTAATTTTAGATTTCCCTTCCTCCCCTGTATTTCTCTCTTCTTCTCTCACCGGGCCTCAACAATGTAGGAACCTGAGTCCATCAATGGTGTCAGACTCCGCTCAGGTAGTACCCATGCTCCCCAAATCTTTCGTCTTCCTCTCCACCAAACACCGTCTTTCAATGAGCAGAGGTGGTATCCTAGAAGAGACGGCATTTGAACTGGATGTTGAAGGATGATTTTGTGTCTGCCAGTGACACTAGGGTAAGGGCCAATACAGATGGGCCTGAACTCACTTAGCAATTAATTTACCCCCATGTGGAAATAACTGATAGCTTTTAAGTTTCCAGAAGTTTTTTTTTTTTTTTTTTTTCATTTTAAAACTGGGTGCTCCTTAAGCTTAATAACTCTTTTGTTGATAGGATTTCAGGATATGTGGAAATATTTTGCTTTTTTTCCACTCCTTCACATCCTTTTCCACTACTCCATTACACAAAATAGGATGGATGGATGGATAGATAGATAGATAGATAGATAGATAGATCTGTAGATATAGATAGATTTAAAAAGAAAAGGTGAGGAATAGTGAAAATATTATAATTAGGTATACCAATGATACTATAACTTAACACAGCCTAGAAAATGGGAAGTAATCAGAAGACCATCAATGATAGCAGTTACAACTGGCAGGGCAGGGAGGTGGTTGGGCTGTTATAAATTACTCTGACAATAGGCTAAGCTAGGACTTGAATACTAGGTTATAAATGTTTTCCCTCATTCAGAGGCTATTTCATTACAAATTCAGAAATTGCACTTCTGCACTCATTCTGCCTTGATAACATTCAGAATCAGAGTGATCTGTCAGAGGGATAAAGATACATTATTTACTAATTTGAGAGATGTGAAAGTCAAATAGATTCATTCTTTAGAAATTACCATCTAAAACAGAGGAGCAAGAGCATGGAATGGTGAACTTTTGTTTGTAATATTAAAAAAATCAGCTGAAATGTCTCATCTCTCACACTGTGGATCGACAAGATTGATATCCCATCAGTAAATAATTACGCCTCCATTAAAAAGAACAATTTAAAAACATATACCCAAATATGGGAGAGGTGCACAGTAGTTAAGCAAAATGGGTTATAGAAACATGTGTGCCCAGACCTTAAAAACAATTCAGAGAAACCTATAAAGAGAGCCTACCCTTACATTTATTTTACAATGCAGGTATGTATCCTTAATTCCTAATTAAAACAAGATTTGTAAATAAAAGAAAAATTAGTTTTTATTTTGTATTATGATCTTTGCATGTGTTTACATGACAATAAAGACATGCAAAAATCATAATACATGATGATCAAGTGTGGTTACTTGACCAGAATGCAAGCTAGAATTAACATTCGAAAAAATATAATCCATCACATTAACAGACTGAGAAAAATGGCATGATTATCTCACAGACAAAGAAAAATATACATATGTCAAATTCTACATGCATTCACGCATGCTGGGAATAGAAGAAATAAAACTCTTATCAAATTAGGAATCTATGGGAATTCCTAAGCCTAATAAAGGATATCTACCAAAAACCTAGAACAAAGATCAGCTTAATGCTAAAATGTTGAAAGCAGTCCTGTTAACTAAAAAAAATTAAGTAGGGGCTGGGCACGGTGGCCCACACCTGTAATCCCAGTACTTTGGGAGACCAAGGCGGGCATATCACTTGAGGTCAGGAGTTCAAGACCAGCCTGACCAACATGGTGAAACCCTGTCTCTACTTAAAATACAAAAATTAGCTGAGCGTGGTGGCGAGCACCTGTAATCCCAGCTACTCAGGAGGTTGAGGCAAGAGAATCGCTTGAGCCTGGGAGGCGGAGGTTTCAGTGAGCAGAGATCATGCCACTGCATTCCAGCCTGGGCAACAGAGTGAGACTCTGTCTCAAAAATAAATAAATAAATAAAGCAAAAGACAAAGATGCCCTCTTCAACAAAATGCTAAAGGACCTAGTAGTACAATAAGAAAACAAAAAAAAGATATTAAGATCAGAAATAAACAAAACTAATTTTCTTACAGATTAAATGATGGTTTATACAGAAAATCCTAAGAAGCACTACAGAAGTCAATACTTAATAACAAAACCTAAAAATTTAAAGATTGATGTTAACTTTATTGTATTTATATACTATATTAATAGTCAGGAAATGTAATTTTTAGTTTGTCATACACAAAAGCAAGATAAAATTTGAAATAAACCCAACCAAAGATATGTAAAGCATTTATCAAAAAATTTTAACTTTGTTACATTTTCTTTTATTCTTTACACGTGCATTTAAAACGTTCCTTAGTAAAATATTTCATAATATAAAATAAAATGTTTTAAATTATTATAAAATGACTGTGTATTAAAACTGTTATAAATAAACTTACCAAAATATATAGTAATAAAATTTTATTTGGAACAAGCATATTCATTTAAGAATATGATCATGTAAACTGTATCTGTTTATACACAGAAGTCTGGAATTACGTAAACAAAAATTTTACCTGTTATTTTTCTACCTAACTTGTTTCACAAAAACATGTTATTTACTGTATGGCAGACACTATTTTTTATAAGTACTTTACAGATATTAATTCTTATAATCTTTATAACAACTCCATGAGATACATACCATGATACCCATTTTACAGATGACTCAACTGAGGCCCAAATTAATTGATTTGCACAAGGTCACATAATTATTAGATGGTAGAACCAGGATTTTAACCCAGAAAATTTGATTCCAGAGTCTTAACCACTTACATTAGACTATGTTTTTTTGTGGTCATTTTTTATTTCTTCTTTATACTTTGTAAAACCATAAATTTCATAATGAACACATTTTACAAATAAAATCAGATTAAGTCAATCCATTTAGTAAAGCCAAGTAATGCATTTTTTGGCTTTGCTGTGGGATAGGAAATTTACATAAACATAACATGACAGAAGAAGACTCATAAAAAGCCAGTATATTCATTCTGTATTGTATAATTTACATTTTAGCATTAGGTTCTGTATATTTAAATACTTCCAATGATGCTGCTTCCACAGACTCAAAACATATGCTGATGTTACATCTTAATTCCCTTTTGTTGTAATTCCATCTTGGTTCTTCCTAAGAAGATATCTGGAGCAAGGAGCCTGTTTAAACTTCTTACTGTGCATAGCATCCTTCCTTCCCTACTAATGTTGGTAACTTCCCAGCAAAACTGTCAGATTTCTTTACAAGATTACAAGTAAATTGACTACAGCACTGAAACCTTCAGTTAAGATGGTTAAGATGACCTTCTTTCCAGGTCACCTTAATGCTAAGTGGGAGAACTGAGAGTTTCAAGTCCTCACTGAATAGCTCTACAGATGAGCCTGACAGCACCACGAATTTGGCCTTGATCCAATGCCTACTAGAAAGCTAGAGGCCTCCTGTTAACTCACATAATCTTTAGCTCACTTCCTAGCTTTCATACACGTTTTAATCAATATCTATAATGTGCCAAGGACAGTGCTAGACACCAAGAATATGACAGCAAAAAACCATGGTTCCTGGCCAGGGGCATTGGCTCACGCCTGTAATCCCAGCCCTTTGGGAAGCTGAGGCGACGTGGGTGGATCATCTAAGGCCAGGAGTTTGAGACCAGCCTGGCCAACATGGCAAAACCCTGTCTCTACTAAAAATATTTTTAAAATTTTTTTAAAAGACCATGGTCCCTGCCCTCAAGAGTAGAAGGAAATGATGGCCCTCCAGTTCTGAGGTAATAAACTCAAATGCCTACCAGGCCAAGAAGATGGCATGAGTAAGGTTCTAAGGGAGACAGGGAGACTATAGAGAAATGAATTCAGCAGGCACCAGCTAAGGTGACTGCCATTATTCCTCTCCAGCAAATTGGTTTCATGCTAGAATGTGATATCAGCGTTTCTAAATTTCTAATTTTTCAAAGGAAGCCAGATATTCATATTTTATAAGAAATGTCCCAATTCTTTAATGACAGCAAGCTATTCAAATTTCTTTTTTAATAATATCATATAACTCAACAAAATGCATCTTAGGGACAGCTAGGCCCTATATGCCATGAATTCACAACAATCTCTGCTTGGTTCCGTGCTCTTTCATCAAAGAACTTGATATGTCTCTCTGGGTTAAAATCTGAATAATCTCTCCAAAGTAAATCCAGATGAGCTCCCAGGACTTTGGGCCCCCAGATAGTTTCCAGAGGCAACAGGTAAATGCTGCTACCTCCTCCTCATTTCAAAGTGTGAGATGCACACACGTACAGTTCTTTGCTTGTTGACAAGAGCCTGCATAATACAGACATCTCACTGACCTTGACTTTTCACACTTTCCCTATTTACACTTCACCTTCCAGCAAAGAAGCCATTCTCAGCTCATGGTCTTTGGATAAAATCATCTTCTGCCTGGAATATTTCCTCTCCCCTGAACCTGATTAAGCCCTACCCATCCCTTAGGTCACAGCTCAAATATCTATTCTTTAAGAAAGGCTGATCACAGCTCAAATGTCTATTCTTTATGAAAGCTTTTCCCAGCTCCCCAGGATAGATCATGTTGCCCTATAACACAAACCCTGGTAGCAGGGTATAGGGTTCAAGGGATTTCCTGACCGATCAAGGAGAAGGATATGATAGCAATGCATGACAAGCTTTATTGGGCAGAATTGAATGATAGTGAAAGTCTCCTATGGCATAAGACTGTCCTGAGGCTCACAGCAAAGGGGCCACCAGTCAAGGAGGAGGGCAAGTGAATTCCCAGGGGAAAGGGAATGGGAGAGGGGACTTACTAGATGATGTTGCTCAGCAGTGCAGCAGGGCGTCTCTGAGTCAGAGAGCTCTTAAGGGCAGTAGCAGCTTGGGATCTTATGGCCATAGGCTCTAGTTTATCAATGGCAAGCAGAAGATAGGTTTCACAGGGTGTGCAAAAGAGGCAAAGTGTACCTGGCTAAAAATCTGCTTGTTGTGTGTTATGTTTAAAACAATTTGATGTATTAAAATTTGAGTTTGGCACCAGAAAGCTTTTGAGATAATTGGTCTCAACCTCCAGTGAAGAAACAAACAACCTAGGGGCCGATTCACAGAGGGCATCGTTGGCTCATTGATTAACAGTGGGTAGGGCCATTCATCCACTGATAGGCCCGGTAATGCTTGTGGCTAAAGGGTTTAAACGTATTTCTATGTAAATGATACTCAGAGAGTCCAGATTCCTGGAAGTCTCTATGTTGAATCACTCATTCTGTGACAACCTAAGGCAGTCACATGGATAGGGTCATGGAAAGAAACGAAACTCCAAAGTCAAAGGCCTTTCAGAAGTTCAGACAGGGTGACAGCTTCACAAAATAGTTTGTCTCCTCTAGTCCAGACTCGTCATTTCACAGCTGATTCCAGGCAGACAGCCATAGAAGAGAAGTCTCTACTAAACACAGAAAGTTGCTCCAGAGAGAAGGGCTGTACTTCTGTCTGTTCCAGACAGTCATTTTACGTAGATCAGGGAGGAGAGAGCTACTCTTCTTAGGTCTTAAGATGAAGCAGACTAGAACAATTCTAGTCCTAAGGCTACAGAGAGAAAGTGAAGAGAATCATAAAACACTGATTTTTTACGTAATTCCAGACTTCCGTGTATAAACATATACAATTTAAGATTTAAGCTGCCTTAAAATCTAAAGCTAACTCGAACAGCTCGGTTTTCAGTTATAAGGAAAAGACAGCTATCTATCTAAAAATATTAGAAAGATATAGATAGATGATTGATAGATAGATGGATAGATAATAGATCGATAGGTGATAGATGATATATCAATAGAGTAATTGATTGATTTATCTGAATCTATACACTCATACATACCAAAGATTTTTTTTCCTTTTGTGGTTTTGTTGTTTACTTACTGTTTTAGTCAGCTCAGTCTGCTATAATAGAATACCATAGACTGATGGCTTAAACAGCAGAAATTTATTTCTCACAGGTCTGGAGGCTGCAAGTCTGAGATCAGGGTGCCAGAATGATTAGATTCTAGCAAGGGCCCTCTTCCTGGTTTACAGAGGCTGTCTTCCCATTGTGTCTTCATGTGGCAGTGAAAGAGATCATCTCTCTCATGTCTCTTCTAATAAGTACACTAATCCCATCCATGAGGGTCCACCCTGTGACCTAATTGCCTCCCAAAGGTTCCACCTACACATACTATCCCATTGGGGATTAGAGCTTCAACATACAAATTTTGGGGGGATACAAACATTCAGGCCATAGAACTTGCCAAATATCCAAGCCCCAAAAACCGCACCTGCTGCAATCCCCAAAAGAATAGCATGGGATCATCAGGAGGCAGTGACCAGAATCCAGAGTCCATCAGATGAGCAGCTAATGCCCATAAGTTTCATACATCCTTGGTGGGAGTAGCCATCTCTCCTGGGCCATTGGTGATCTCTGACTATTCACTTTACTTCCTGAAGCAACGCTTCTCAAAATTTAATGTGCATTAGGGTCCAATGGGGAGCTTTTTAGACTTGCCATTCTCAAAGTTCTGTGGACTCTGAGGCAGGAGGTTTGAGAACCCTACCTTGGAGATATTGTCCTAAAACATAACTGGGTCAACCCTTGCCCCTCACTGTCACATGATGAGACTCAGGAGTTTGTCTGGGTTCATCTCTAAATTAAGAGTCTCTTAGAAGAGAAACCAAGGTTCCAACCTCAAGTGTAGCTATGAGAGAATGTTGCACCAAACCCAAAAGCCATGTGGCAGCAGGTGCAAATACCTGGTGCTGTTTTACTCTATGGTACCAGAGTGCCATTAAGTGGCCTTATCACTGGCTATATATCATATAGGCAGGCCAAAGGCTAAGCTTCTCTACTCAGTCATAATCTGTGTTGCTATGGGATGCTTACGAATCATTGCTGATCCAGAGGAGTCTAAATTCTCTCTTCCAGGATGAGATATAAGGGTTGCAAGAACTATTTTACTTTTTTGTTGTTTGTTTTGTTTTATTTGTTTGTTTGAGACAGAGTCTCATTCTGTAGCCCAAGCTGGAGTTGCAGTGGCATGATCTCAGCTCACTGCAACCTCTGCCACCCAGGTTCAAGCAATTCTCTTGCCTTGGCCTCCCGAGTAGCTGAGATTACAGGCACCTGCCACCGTGCCTGGCTAATTTTTGTATTTTTAGTAGAGACGGGGTTTCACCATATTGGTCAGGCTGATCTTCAACTCCTGACCTCATGATCCACCCGCCTCGGCCTCCCAGAGTGCTGGGATTACAGGCGTGAGCCACCGCGTCCGGCCAGGACTATTTTACTTTTTACCTTATAAGCTTTCTTTTCAAACACTTTAAATTGAGGAATGAAAAATAATCCAGTAAAAGATAAGTCAGGAGGTTATGGCCACACTTTACCCAATATATCCCACACATGAAAGTATTGATTGTTTCCTGTCTTATTACACTGTCCGAGGTGACAGAGAATAAGATCATTTTAGGGCAATTATAATAAGAAGAATGCATTACTAATCATGAAACATTATATCTCTTATTCATCAAATTAAGTCATGCATTCAGCCACTTCATTTCCTAGACATTTATAGAAACAGTAAAGGAGGAAGGTGCTTTTCATGCAGCCAAGGCATAGCTCAATTCGTAACAATATTTTTGAACTCTTCTTGTATTTTTCTGCCTGAGCTAGGCCTATAGACTCATAACCTCAAGAAGCTATAAGTCTTTGTTTTAAAACTATAAATGTGGCATTTATTTCTCTCCACTGTCAAAAACAAAGAAGATGCACAGGCTCTAAAAATGGTCACATTGAATAATTGATTTCTTGCCTAATTGATGAAAACATTTTCTTTAAACTTGGAGAAGAAATTAAATGGTTGTAGTAGATAAGAGAAACTAGGCAGACACTTAATAAATGTGCTAACGAACGCTTTAGATACAGGGATAAAGGCCCATGTTCAGAGTTGGTTAGACAATCATAAAAACAGAAATAAGAATAGAGTTGGTTCTTTAATTACCTAACGTTGGTTTTTGCATTTCACTACAAGTTTTCATTCAGCATTTCTTTTCTAAGGTGCAATTCACTAAATAATGTGATATTAATTAGGCACAGTGATAGCCCAGGGAGTGAATTTCCATTTCCTCATTATCAATCAAGTGCTATCTCCTATGGGCAGTAAGTCATCAACCCCAACATATCATTAGCTTCATCATTTTAGCAAATCAGTTCTGGCTAATAGCTTAAAATTGGTTAAATGGGATGTTCTCTGACATGCAGCCCTGGGAGTGATGAGAAAATAATGGGTCTCTTCTTTAGGCAGAAGAATAATTAGTAATAAGGAGGTGCCCAAGTTCAATTAATTAATGATTTTCCAACACAGTGAATGATGCTTTAGAATAGAGAGTCTAGTTCAGGATTGATCTGTAGCAAAATGAATAAGCAAACCAAAGCAGAAGGATACTCATTAGCTGTTTGTTTTTTTCTGTTTAGTCCAACCCCAAGGCATTTGTCAATCAAAAATCTTCCCTACCAGAGAAAGCAAGAATGAAAATGTTCTCTGGCTAAAGAGGTGGGTCTTTAGACCTTTATAGAGTTTGCAAATTACACAGATTTATTACTACAAATATTTTATCAATAAAATCCACCCTATAAATACTGTATCAAGAGGCATTCTAACCAATTTGAAACACTTGGTTGGGGATTTTTATGTGTGGGTTAGCTGGCAAAGAAGTTGACTTCCATATATACTTCCCCAGTTAAGGATATTCCCATCACCAGGACCATGACAGCTGACTTAGTAGAAGGCAAGAGTTGACCATAGAAACCGGATCACTCTTCATCTGAGTATCTCAGCGTCACCAGTTTCTTTGTGTGTGTGTAGATATGGCCTCCTTATTTTCTACAAAGGAGAAAAGTAGGCAGAAGGAGCTGTTTTGAAGATTAAGATTAATGGTATGTATGGCAAATATTGGGACTTCCTGGAAGAAAGATGCTATGGGCCAGTTGTCCTGAAGCCTGGCTCGTTGTTAAGAGCATCTGAGAGCTTCTTACAAATAAATTCTCCAGCCCATAGCTTCTCAGATGTTAATGTGTATAACAACCCCAGGGGACTTTTGTTAAGCTTCAGATTCTGCTTATTTAGGTTTCGGCTGGAGCTTCTGATTCTGCACTTCTGACAAGCTCCCAAGTGATGCTGATGCTGCTGGCCCCATGGTTTGGGAATCACTATGGTAAGCCTTGCTTTGAAATACAATCATTCTTGTGAAAGTGCTTTGTAAATGGTAATGCATTACCTTAATTGATGCATTATAATAAACAGGGATTGTGTTACTAAGATAACCATATTACAGTTCATTTTAGATATGATGTAATATGCGTAATATGGCCCTCAAAGTGTTTTCTTTTTTCTCTTAATTTGTTAGTTTTTTAAAATCCAATCTATTAGCAAATTCTGTCAAGGTTACTTTCTGTGACCTACTCCTTTGATTCAGCATCAACTTTGTAAGATTCATTCCTGTTGTGCAGAGCTACAGTTCATTCACAGAAAAATTACATTTCGATATAAAAACATTAATTTAAATCTCATAATATCACACCCTACACAAACATAAACTCTAGATTGATTTTTTGAAACAAAATGTGGGGCCGGGCGCGGTGGCTCATGCCTGTAATCCCAGCACTTTGGGAGGCTGAGGCAAGCGGATCACAAGGTCAGGAGTTCAAGACTAGCTTGGCCAAGATAGTGAAACCCCGTCTCTACTTAAAATACAAAAAAATTAGCTGGGCATGGTGGTGGGTGCCTGTAATCCCAGCTACTCGGGAGGCTGAGGCAGGAGAATCGCTTGAATCCGGGAGGTGGAGGTTGCAGTGAGCCGAGATCATGCCACTGCACTCCAGCCTGGGCAACAGTGCAAGACTCCAACTCAAAAAAAAAAAAAAAAAAAGGAAAAGAAACAAAACATGGAAAAAAATTGTCAGTCAAAAATATAGAAGAAAGTATTTATAGCTCCAAAATAGGGAAGGATTTCTTAAAAGCCCAGAAAGCACAAATTACAAGGATACCACTGTTGGAATTGATCGTACAGCAATTTAAATTGTCAGCTATGATTTAAGAAAAATAAAGTTGAGACAAGTGACAATAGTTGCAGTATATATGGCAAAGATTAGTATCTAAAATTCACAAAGAACTCTTAAAACTTATAAGAAAATGATGAATGATACAATAGAAAAATGGTTTTGAAGAACAGGTAAGTCACATAGGAAAAAAAAACCAAATTGCTAATCAACAGCCAAAGGAGCTCAACCACACTTCGGTAATCAGGGAAAAAAAAAAAAGTGAGAACATTAAGCTACCATTTCATACTCATTTGATTGGCAACAATTTTAGTCTAACGATACAAAGTGTTGGTAAGAACATCCCTATTAATGGTGTGGCTGTAAATTAGGAATATTATTTTGGAGATCAATCTTGCAAGGTCTAGTAAAGCTATGTTACTTTCTACTCCGCTGTTCTACTTCTAGATAGGAAGACTTGTAAGTGATTGTTCATTGCAATATTATTTATATTTAAAAAAAAGATAAGGACCACTACAGTGACCAAAAAAGAACTTGTTTACTTGCAATATAAGAGAAGACAGGTAAATCAAGAAACTGAGTATTTCTCTGGTGGGGGTAGGGAGGCTAATTACAAACTGAAGCTTGCACCCTGGATAAGGTACAATGACTACATATCTATGCAGAGTTGATTAAAATAAATTAGTAGTAAATGTTGAAAGAGAAAAACATCGTTTAGTATCTGAAACCAAGAAGCAGACAGCTAGGCTGGTCAAATAGCTCATTAAACAAACTTCTCATCTCATAGGGTAAGTTCTTTGGGAAGAGTTCACGTTGAGTAGTAATGGTTACAGAAGCAGGACTGGATTGATGCTAGTCTAAGAAGCATGGATTGTGTTGGCTACAGAAGCATGCCTTTTGTTAGTTACAGATATGGGAGTATACGTCGGCCTTAGAAGCATATTAACTGGAGTGAATCTGATGCCGATTCGTAGACTTTCAAAGCATGAGGCTGTCACTGATTGGCAGCTTTCAGAGGCTGTATTCACTGAAGTGAGTTGTCATTGATTTAATAAAGAGATTTAAAAACAATGCTGCTGTTTATTTAATATCATAGCTACAGACCTATCACTGATTAAATAGATTTAAAACCAGTGCCAATGTTTATTTATTACTTCTTTTCTTTCTTTTTTTTTTTTTTTTTTTTGAGATGGAGTCTTGCTCAGGCTGGAGTGCAGTGGCACAATCTCGGCTCACTACAACCTCTGCCTCCCAGGTTCAAGCAATTCTCCTGCCTCAGCCTCCAGAGTAGCTAGGGCTACAGGCTCACGCCATCATACCTGGCTAATTTTCGTATTTTTAGTAGAGGTGGGGTTTCACCATGTTGGCCAGGCTGGTCTCAAACTCCTGACCCCAAATGATCCACCCACCTCGGCCTCCCAAAGTACTGGGATTACAGGCGTGAGCCACCATGCTCAGCCAGTGAAACAGCATTTGGTTTGATATAACCTAAGAAAGGATTGCTGCAGGTACAAATTTCTTCTTTTATACTTGCAATGGGAAAAAATTGGAGATCAAATATATGCCCATCAACAGAAGAATAAACTGTAATACATGCATATGCAGTATTCCATAGTTGTTAAACAAAACTGGATCCAAATATGTCAACAGAAACAAATATCTAAAACAGAATCTTTAGTGAGGAATGAAAACTGGAGAATATAAAATGTGGTATAATATTTGTGTAATTTTTTAAAAAACATTAATGTGTTTATGTGTGTGTGTGTTTATAGATCGTCAAATGAGAAAAACATGGACCAGATACACACTAAATTCACAATGATGTCTAACTTGGGCAGGTGTGAAATATACGGAATCAGGAAAAGAAAAAGAACTTTGAGGCAAATATTAATCTGGGGGTAATTCATTTTTCTGTGTTTCTGTATGTTGCACATTTCTCTAAAATAAAATAAACCCTAAGCTTTGAGTAATTGTTCTACTTTTTTCATGAACAACTAATTATCTTTTAAAAAACCTTTCTAAAACCGTGGATTGTCCTGCCTGTAACACAAACATAAAACAGATTAAGTCTGTACTACTGATCTAAAGCCACGGATAAAGGATTTTTGTTTGTTTGTTTGTTTGAGAAGGAGTCTCGCTCTGTCGCCCAGGCTGGAGTGCAGTGGCGCGATCTCGGCTCACTGCAACCTCCGCCTCCCGGGTTCACGCCATTCTCCTGCCTCAGCCTCCCGAGTAGCTGGGACTACAGGCGCCCGCCACCACGCCCGGCTAATTTTTTGTATTTTTAGTAGAGATGGGTTTTCACCGTGTTAGCCAGGACGGTCTCGATCTCCTGACCTCGTGATCTGCCCACTTCGGCCTCCCAAAGTGCTAGGATTACAGGCGTGAGCAACCGCACCCGGCCAGATAAAGAATGTTTTAACAAGAAAGATGACCTCATTCCCTTAGTACCGTATTTTAGTTCAGTCAAATTTTGACTGGTGCCATTCTCCTCAGCTGCCGTGATTTCCAATTTAGTTGTGATAAACAGTCTTCTCTGAAAGTTTCCTTGACAGGATTTCTCTTTGAAAAAACAGAAGTTGCTGAAGGGAAAAGACCAGGAGTATAAATAAGCCCCTGCCTTCTTGACTGAAATTTTTACTGAGATAATTATAGAATAGATCTGCATACAGTTAGAAGAAATAATACATAGAGATCCCATATGCACTTTATTTATTTATTTATTTATTTATTTATTTATTTATTTAATGGGTTTTTTTTTTTTTTTTTTTTTTTTTTTTGAGACAGAGTCTCACTCTGTCACCCAGGCTGGAGTGCAGTGGCGGGATCTCGGCTCACTGCAGCCTCCGCCTCCTGGGTTCAAGTGATTCTTATGCTTCAGCCTCCAGAGTAGCTGGGATTACAGGCGCCCGCCACCACGCCTGGCTAATTTTTGTATTTTTAGTAGAGATGGGGTTTCACCATGTTGGCCAGGCTAATCTCAAACTCCTGACCTCAAGTGATCCACCCACCTCGGCCTCCCAAAATGCTGGGATTACAGGCATGAGCCACTGCATCTGGCCCCGATATGCACTTTAACCAGTTTCCCCCAAGGGTAAAATTTTGCAGAGCTATAGTATAACATCACAACCATATTGGCATTGATACAACCTACAGACCTTCTTCCAGCTTTCCCAGTTTTACTTGTACAGTAATTCCTCACTTAACGTGGCATATAGTTTCTTGAAAACTGCAACTTTAAGTGAAACCAAGTATAATAAAACCAATTTTACCATAGGCTAATTGATACGAACAGGAGTTAAATTCCTAGGTACATTTCTGGTCCCAAAAACATGACCAAACTTCTAAATAAAGACCTAAAACACCCCTAATTAGTCTTAAGCACTGGAATAAATGTGAACTATACACACATTTAGGACAGATTAATAAAAACAGGTAAGATAATTGTTTACCCAATTTTGGGTGAATTTGTGAATGGTGGTGGTTGTCTGGTGGTGAGTTGAAAGAATAAATGTTTGTAAAGCAAACATTGTCTGGGGCACCTCCCACCACCTTGCAGGCCAAAAACAATTACCAACATGGCGGCTTTTGTCAGGCATCATTTATTGTCATGCATTTGGATGATTATAATAGACTTTGTGAAATTTTATTTTATGATCATTTGTATACATTCATTCATTTTCCAACCTGCTTATTTCAGTTAAGGGTTATTGGTGGCTGGAGCCCATCCAGGCAGCTCAGGTCCCAAGGCAGAAACCAACCCTGGATGGGATGCCATCTTACCCCAGGGTGCATTCACACACACCCACGCTGACTCACACCACTGGAACCATGTAGACATACCAATGAACCTAAAGGGCACAGCTTTGGAATGTAGGAGGAAACCAAGGCACACAGAGAAAACCCACACAGGCATGCGGAGAACCCACAAACTCAACACAGACAGGCCCTGGCCAGGAATCTTTTTTTTTCATCAGTGTTATAACAAAATGACATTGAATGAAACGATGCTACTGGAGAACCTGCTGTACTCATGACTCTGTGTGTGTGTGTGTGTGTGAATCAGGTACTATCTACTTTTATCACATGTATGCTCAGACATCCACCAGCACAGTCAAGATACTGAGAAGTTCCAACGTGACAAGTATCCCTTGTGCTGCACTTTTATAACCCAACCCAAGTCCCTCCTAACTCCCCTCCCCACCCCTAACCTCTGGCAACCACTTGTCTGTTCTCCATTTCTAAGGTTTGTTATTTCAAGACTGCTTTACATAAATGGAATTACACAGTATGAGACATTTGAAGAGTCACTTTTTTCATTCAGCATAATTCTCTGAAGATTCATCCATCATTGTGTGTATCAACGGTTTGTTCCTTTTTATTACTGGGTTATTCCATGGATGTACCACAGTTTGTTTAACCATTTACCCATAGAAGGACCTCTGAGCTATTTCCAGCTTTTAGATATTATGAATAAAGCTGCTATGAACATTTGTGTACAGGTTTTTGTGTGAACATAAATTTTTATTTCTCTGAGTTAAATACTTAAGAATACAATTGCTGGGCCATATGGTAATTGCATCTTTAGCCGGATAAGAGCTGTGAAACTATTTTCCAAAGTGGCTGTATCATTCCTCCCAGGAATGTAAAAGCTCCATTTTTTTTCTGCATCCCTGCTAGGTTTGGTTTTGTCACTATTTTTTATCTTAGCCATTCCAATAGCTGTGTATTGATAATTCATTGTGGTTTCATTTGCATTATCGTGATGTTCAATGAGATTGAACTTCTTTTTATGTGCTTATTTTCTAACTGTATAGTCTCTTTGGTGAAATAGCTGTTTATGTGTTTTGCCCACTTTCTAACTGGATTTTTTTTAATGTTGAGTTTTGAGAGTTCTTTATATATTCTAAATACTAGTCCTTTGATGGATATGTGATTTGCAAGTATTTTCTCTTGGTCTGCAACCTGTCTTTTCATCTTTTTCACATATGTTCCACAGATAACAAGCTTTCAGTTTTAATGAGACCCGATTTATCTACTTTTCCTTTTATGGATTGTGCTTTTGTTGTCAAGTCTAAGATCTCTTTGCTTAGCCCTAGATCCTGAAGATTTTTCTCCTTTTTTCAAAAAGTTTCATAGTTTTACATTTAAGTCCATGATCCATTTTGAGTAAATGTAAAAGTGTTTAGATCGAGATTCCATTTTTTTTGAAACAGTATTTCCTCTACATACATACACCCTAAAACCTTAAATCTAAATAGAGGCTATAACTCAATCAAAGAAGCAAAGAGTCAAATAGTTTCTTTTCATTGTAGAGATTAAATTACCAGATGATGAATACTATTTTTTACCTTTCCTCTAGTTCTGACATCTTTTGTTTTTTTCTTTTGTTTTTGATGGAATCTTGCTCTGTCACCCAGGCTGGAGTGCAGTGGTGCAATCTCGGCTCACTACAAGCTCCGACTCCTGGGTTCATGCCATTCTCCTGCCTCAGCCTTCTGAGTAGCTGGGACTACAGGCGCCTGCCACCAAGCCCGGCTAATTTTTTTGTATTTTTAGTAGAGATGGGGTTTCACCATGTTACCCAGGATGGTCTTGATCTCCTGACCTCGTGATCCGCCTGCCTTGGCCTCCCAAAGTGCTGGGATTACAGGCGTGAGCCACCGCGCCTGGCCTAGTTCTGACATTTTAAAAACCCTCCAAAGGGTGAAACAGGAAATATAATAGCAGCCCTCTTGCTTTCAATTTCCATTTTATACTGAATTAGGACCTGAACACTCCTTGCGTTAGGCACCATACACCTACACTCTAGAGAAAGCCCAGCGGCCATTTATTCCTTCCATAGACACCTTGTAGTCTCCGACAGGGAACAGTCAGGGCCCTCACATGATTAGAATACAGGGAGCTCCCTGACAAAAGAGAAGTTGAGAAATCTTCAAGACAGGAGTGCCTAGCTCTTTGGTGGGGAGCAGGAGAAGTTTCCCCCGCAGGGAGGAGGGGATGAGATGAAAGATTAAACCAGCTTGAATGTGGAATGAAAGGCAAAGGGAAAAAAGACAAAAATTCAAAATCTCTGGAAAAACTTGGCATGGCTGGAAGAATGGCTGCAAAATGGAAAGAAATGGCGTCACAGAGGCTCTGGGTGGGGAGTGATATCCTTGGGGGTAGGTTGGAGCAGATGATTCTGAGTCTCTGTCTCTCCCTCTGTCTCTCATTAACAAAAAGTTTCAGTTCCACTTCTTTTTTTTTTTTAAAGGTGTTAGGTCAGTGCAAAATTAATTGTGGTTTTAAAAGTAACGGCCAAAACTGCAATTACTTTTGCACCCACGGAAAACCTTAGTCATACTAATTATATTAAGGAACTTATTTGGATTTAATAGAAGAGAGCAAGGCTAATTGAGACTGTGTAATTGTATTCACAGCACATCAGAAGCACTATACTGGAGTCGGGAAACCAGGGCTAGACTTCCAGGCTGTCTACTAATCTGAAGAAAATACTATTTGGTCACAGCTTCAGGGTTTACAGATGGGTTTAAAATGCCTCTATAGTGTGAGTCTTCATCCATCATTAAACATGGAGTGAGTGGATGGGACTCCTCTAGTCACCCAGTTATCGAAAATAAATACAATATCATTATCAACAATATGATCATTAAATTGATATGATTTTTACCATATAATGGGTATATCAAACACATAAAAATATTATTTTACTCTTTTTAATCCAATAAAAAAATTTGCTTTCTTGGATTAAAAAATAAGTACAATAATTGGAGTCTAAAATTTTGCTGGTGGTTAGCCAATACTGCTTCACTCAGGTACACATTTCCTCTGATGATTTTTTAAAATTCTGATTAAATATTATGGAAGTTTGTTTACCTTGAACTTATACTGGTGCCTTTTTTGAATTTATTGGTTGATTCTGTATAAAACAAACAAACAGTTTCCACCTCTGAGGAAAAAGACACATAGAAAGTGTGATTTGAGGCCAGGCATGGTGGCTCACGCCCATAATCTCAGCACTTTTGGAAGCTGAGGCAAGTGGATGACCTGAGGTCAGGAGTTCAAGACCAGCCTGGCCAAAATGGTGAAACCCCACCTCTACTAAAAATACAAGAAAAAAAATCAACCAGACATGGTGGCATGCACCTTTAATCCCAGCTACTCAGGAGGCTGAGGTAGGAGAATTGCTTGAACCTGGGAGGTGAAGGTTGCAGTGAGCCAAGATCACGCCACTGCACTCCAGCCTGAGGGACAGAGCGATACTCTGTCAAAAAAAGAAAAAGAAAGGAAAGTGTGATTTGAGTCTTTCTAGAAGGTTTCATCTCTCCCAAATCTTTTCACAAACCTTGCTTATACCCCAATCCAACCCCTGTCTTCAACTTGCCCCAGCGTGAGGTATTGGATCCCAGGGCAACGTGCTTCCAGAGACCCCTCAGTCAGTGTTACACCCGATTTAAGCCAGAAAGCATGAGCACGTAAAAATTCACCAGTTCCCACTAAACCTGAAGTAATTATTCTCATATGAATTGAGGAGGTTGAGACATTGTAGGGAAATTAGAGTTCTGGGAAGAAGGCTAAAGAACCCCAACATGTATTTTTTAAATTCCAAAATATATTTTCTTACTTCAGATTGAGTCTAGCACCAAACCTGAGAATTAATTCAATTCACAAGCCAGAGTTAGCTAAACACTAATACTCATACACAAGCCCTGCCCTCCACAGACATCTGGATTCAAATCTCCACTCTGTCATTTACTAGTAGATGCAAATTAACTTTATCTCTTGGTACTCTTTCCTCTTTAGTAAAATAAGGACAATAGAAGAACCTGCCTCATAGGAGTTTGATGAGAACTAAATAATTTAAATAAAATTTCTGATACACAGTGAGGGATCAATAATGGTCAGACACAGATTAGAAGAATCAGGAAAGACTCCCCAGAAGAAGTTATGCCTGAACCAAATCTTGAACTCTGAAGCAGATTATGTATGTGAAGGTCAAAGAACAACGATGTTCAGGCATGAGCTTTGCTTTGGATCAGAGGGAAGCATGGGAAGCTGTGGGAAGTAAAGGAGAAGGAAAAGGGGAGGCTAGACCAGGGGAAGGGAAAGCTGGAGATGGGAATGTTTAACATGTTTGGAACAGAAAGCTCATCTCTGGTAGGACCAAGAAGTTAGAGCTTTCTTCCTAAATCTTTGTGGGGTGTCACTAAAGGATTTTAAGTAAGGACGAAAAATCATCTAATTTGCTTTTGGAACTGTAGTTGGGCAGCCAGATGGGGAATGAATAAGAAGGACAAGTGGAGTCCAAGTTCTTACTCAGGAGATTGATGGGGCACTTCAGGTGAAGGATCATGTTCCCAGCTAAAGCACTGAATGAGTAAGACTCGGGGACTGGTTGAAGGTGGGGAGTGAGGCAGATGACAGAAGTTAAGAAGATTCCGGATCACTGGTTTGAATGACTGAGGTGGGTGATGGCATGATCAACTGAAACTGGAAACACAAAATAGGTTTGGGTCAGGGAAAGGGAGAGGTAACAAATCTAGTTTGGTACATGCCTGGTTGTGGAAGCTGTGAAACATACTAATGAAGCTGTTCAGCTGGAAGTTGAATATAAGGGTCCGAAGCTTAGGATACTGATGCAAAAATGTAGAAGTTTGACACCATGCAAGGTCACACCAGGAGTGTACATAACATGACAATACTAAACAGGAATACCAATATAGAAAAAGACAAGCAGAGAAATTGGAGTACAAGGAGAATGAGCATGAATTCATCGAGGTGGAGATGTTAATTTATTTGAGATGTTTGTAATCATAAATCAAAGTATTAGACATTGATATAGATTTATAGATGTGTAGGTATCTCTACATGCATATCTGCAGCAAATTTTAACATCACCTCAGGTCAGTGATGAATGAAGAAGAACTTAAAGTTGGAAAACTAAGATAATCGTATGAATAAATGTGGTAAACTAAATATGGTATAAACAACTTATTTTTCTGGGATTTGTAGGAAGTGATGGTCAATGGATATGCAGTTTAGGAGGTTATCAGTGATCAATGATTTAGGAGATTACTCTGTGATCTTATACACTAAGATCACCTAAGGTTTTAGGTTTAAGGTTTTAGGTTTTAGCACTGTGTATAATTCTCGCTTTCTGATACCTAAGACAGCACTGCATGTAAAGAAGCCATTAGTGCCTACTCATGCCCCATGCTAATAATATCTGCAAGATCATGTCTATTTCAGACTCTACTGCATTTTCTAAGTGGAGACACCGTCTCCAAATGCAATGGATGCTTTTACAAAGAGGATCCTCAGAATGGAGAACACTCCATAGAGCTACCAGTGGAAGACACGCATTCCCCTTTCTCATGTAAGTGTGTGGCAGGCTGAGAGGCGGTGGGATAACTGAATGAATTGATCCAGGATTTTTTACTCCTTAGCTCAGCTAGATCTGGGTTCGTGTCTCACAACCAGGAAAAATTAGACACACAGACATCAAAGAGTGAGTGGAGTAGAATTTATTAAGTGAAAAGGAAAGCACTCAGCAAAAAGAGGGGTCCTGAAAGCAGGTTTGGTTGCCCCCTTCACAGTTGAATACAAAGGCTTCTATATTCCACTGATGGGGCTAGGTTCCCTACTTGTGTAAGGCATGAATTCCTGGAAGCTCCACTCCATCTTCCCAGTGCACATGCAGGCCCTTAGTCTGAGCCACTCTATATTGATTTATTTCTCTGACTGTGCATGTGTTCATGGATGGAATTTTTCACCACAGGCAGGTTTAGGCAAGCCCCCTGTGCAGGTTCCCTTACCTGCACAAAGCATCTGGTGCAAATATGTGTGGGGCACGTCGGAAATTCTCTGGGGACCCTCCCCTATCTGCCTAGGAGAGTTCTCTGCTTCCTGCCTCTATCAAAATGACACAGTGATGAATGGCCTTGAGCTCCACTATTCCTCTAAAAAGCCCCCTAAGCCCAAGTGTTTCCATTTTTCAAAAAACATTTAGAGGGGAGGCAAAGTGAATAATGACTAGGAACATGAGTTTTGAAATCAAACAGACTTGGATTTGAAATCCTTGCTCCACCTCATAATATTTGCTACTGTTGATTGAGTGACTACTAGGCTGGGAACTAGTCAGAATGCTTCATATTCACTAATTAAATCTTTTTTTGTTTTTGAGACAGGATCTCATTCTGTTGCCCAGGTTGGAGTGCACTAGCATGATCACAGTCACTACAGCCTCAACCTCCCGGTCTCAATTGATCTCCCTGCCTCAGCCTCTTGAGTACCTGGGACTACAGATGCATGCCTGGATGCTTTTATTTTTGTAGGGATGGAGTCTACCTATATTGCCCAGGCTGATCTTGAACTCCTGGGATCAAGCAATCCTCCTGCCCCAGCCTCCCAAAGTGTGGGGATTACAGCCGTGAGCCACCATGCCTGGTTTCACTTATTAAATCTTTACAATAAACCTGGGGGCAAGAATGGGACATGGATGGTTAAGTTAATTACTCATAGTCACAAACTGAGTGCCTGAGCAGAGATTGAAATCCAGATAGTTCAATTCCAGAACCAGCAGTCTTAATCGTGACATTTTTCTGCCAGGCTATCCATGAGACTGGTGAAGGCCCACACTCTTTGAGATTCCATTTTCTCATACCTAGTGAGCCTATCTGATACAGTTATATTGAGCATAAACAAAATAGTCTATGTAAAACACATAGTACGGTGCCTAGAATATAGTAAGAACTCAATAGATCATAGCTATATTTTATTTTATTATTTCCTTTTTAAAAGGTGTATTCAGTATTAAGAGGGAAAGGCTAAAGTGAGCAATGGAAAAACAGGTCAGATTCAGCCCTTTGCCCCAACCCTAGTAAGGACAAGTACACTTGGTTTTGATGTCTCGATATCTCAAGGTTTTAGATTTATAGATGTTCATGTTCCTGTCTCAAGAGCACCTTGCTGTATCCATCAAAACCTGGTGGCAGATTAACTGAGTGTGAATGATCTATCTCAGATAGAATTTGAGCTTCAAACTAGAAGCAAAAGCAAGAAATAAATTGCTAAACTGTGGAAAGCATTCGGATGATCTAATATGCTATTCAACGCAGTGCTTGAGAGAAGATGTCTCACTGTTGGCTAATCTCTTCTTGTTTTTGAGACAGAATACCTTGCATTTAATACCTTGCATTTGCAAATATACATCTGCGTTGATATACTCATCACAGGTCAATGTATGCAAACCTAAATTTTAGATACAACAACAACCGTATGCAAGTCTATAAACCGAGACCCAAAACCATGTTTCCTCCTGACGTGTAAAGTGGTTTTGATGTATTTTCCTATTTATGAATGTATTAGAGCCAATCATGTCTCACCACGAAAACTATATTTTTTTACTGTATTTCAGATTACCTTTCCCAAGTGGCAGTGAGAATTTGTATTCATTTAATTCAACACAACAAGTATTATAATTTAAAAGTCTGCTACAGGCCAGCAATGTGCTACACATTCCCCAGGCAGATAAAAGGAAAAACCCTGCAGATTACCGGTAAGCCCCGTTTCTGAACCATGGATGTGAGGGCGAAGAGGCTCGATGCAATTGTTACAGAGGGGCTGAGGCTGCATTGGTTTGGATGAGAGTAACACTGAGGAAGAGAATACCCACCAGTGTGCACTGCCCCTTCGTCAAATGTGTTGTCATTTGACTCCGAAAGCTCAATTTCCCCAGGTAAGGTGAGGCAGTCATGTGCCTGGAAAGCCTGGATTCTGGGGCTCAATTCTGCCTCCTGTAAAGACGCCACTGTAAGCCCTGCCTGGTGCTGAGCCCGGCAGAGCAGGCCCTCAGACATCATGAACCTGTATTCAAATGGCCATCTCTAAAGGTTAGTCAATCATGGCATTTGTTCCATGAACTATGATTTGACATGTTCCATCTGCAGGACAGTAACAAGAAAGTCAGTCAGTGGGAAACAATAATAAAATCAGGTCTGAACTTGCATAGGTGAATAGTTAACTGGGGGACACCAAAGTGGGAACATTCAGTAAGCGGCGGGGTATATAGTCAAGAGCTAGGTCTTGACTAGAAATCCTAACTTGGGAATTATCAATTTAGTTGAAGGCATAGACATAGATAAGAAGAGAAGAGAACTGAAGTGAAACCCAGGGAACCACACACGTCTGAGGGTCAGGAGCAACGAGAGAAGCTCCTGAAGGACAGTGGGAAGTAGGAAGTAGGCATTTACATGTGGAAAAGTCTCGAGATAGTTCCATTCTGAAAATATAGCAAAGTAGATCACTTGAAAGCTTTCTGTTACAAAACACTTAGAAAAGCGATATAAAATATATCAAAACATATTTCTAATGCATAGCTGAGCCTCTAATAAATTAAGGAAAATTCAAATACAGAAATAGGAGCCAGGTGTGGTGGCTCACACCTTTAATCCCAGCAACTTGGGGGGCTGAGACAGGAAGATCACTTGAGGCCAGGAGTTGGAGATCAGCCTAGGCAACTTAGCAAGACCTCGTCTCCCAAATATTTTATAATTAGCCAGGCATGGTGGCATGTGCCTGTAGTTCCAACTATTTGGGAGGCTGAGGCAGGAGGATCACTGGAGCCAAGGAGGTCGACGCTGCAGTGAGCTTTGATCACATCACTGCACTCCAGCCTGGGTGACAGAGTAGGACTCCGCCCTAAATTAAAATAAAATAAAGTAATAGAAATAAAAAAGATAAAAATGAGCAGAGGGAACAAGTGGCAATGGTTCTCTGCTCTGAAGACATTTTTACTGGTCTCAGGAACTGAGCAGTTTGGATATTAACTGCCCCATGGAGATTGGAGAGGCGGCTTTGGACTTCCACAAGGCATAGAGTTGAAATAGAGACTCTTGCATGAAGCTGTAACATTTTTTTCCATTTGTTTGAAGTTTTCCACAATAAAAAGCTATTTTTAAATAAGAAATGGGCACCAACAGTGAACCATAATGTAAAGTATGGATTTTGAGTGATGATGATGTACTGATGTAGGTTCATCAATTGTAAGAAATGTAGCATTCTCTGTGGATGGCAGGGGTGGATGCTAACAGTGGAGAAGTCTGTGTATGTGTGGGGACAAGGGTTATGAGGAAACTCTGTACTTTTTGCTCAGTTTTGCTGTGAACCTAAAGTTGATCTAAAAATATGAAGTCTCTAGAACAAAAAGAGAAAAAAAGAAATGAAGTTCTGGGGTTCCTGGCAGAAGCAGATGCAAACGTCTCCAGAAGACAGATACAGGCAGTACAGAATTCCCACAGATATGGTGTACTCACAATCATGAAATCGTGGATATGAACAAGCAAGCTGCATGAAAATCACACTCAACAACCAGTGAAATTAGAGCCTCAGGACTTGCAAAAACGAAGCACTCAGGAAAGTTATAGAAAAGAAATAAGTTTCATATTATTAAAAAATAAATCAAATCATAAGAAAGGAACTATTGGCTTTTTAAGGGAAAAAAGGCATATTTTAAAGGAAATGACCAAAACTTCCAGAAATGAAAAACTTAGGGGGATAAAACAAAAATAAATAAATAAATCGAAAACCAATCACAATAAGGCTGGGCATGGTGGCTCACACTTATAATTCCAGCACTTTGGGAGGCCAGGGTGAGAGGATCACTAGAGGCCAGGAGTTTGAGACCACCCTGGGCAACATAGTGAGGCCCATCTCACTACAAAAAAAAAAAAAAAATTAAATTAGCCTGCATGGTGGCTTGTGCCCGTAGTCCCAGCTACTCAGGAGGCTGAGATGGGAGGATTTCTTGAGCCCAGGAGGTTGAGGCTGCAGTAAGCCAAGGTCATGCCACTGCACTTCAGCCTGGGTGTCAGAGCAAGACCTTGTCTCTAAATAAACAAATATAAAATAAAACAAAATAAACTATAGTGAGTTAAAAAGCAGATTAGACACAGCCAAACAGATAATTTTTACACCTCAAAAATGAAAGATCAGTAGTCTATCCAGAAAATAGAACAGGGAAAAAAAGATATAGAATGCAGAAAGGAGGAATAGCAGTAAGAATTTTTATATATTGCAGAGGGGAGCAGAACTTGGTACAGTCAATTTGTTTTTTTGTTGATGGTGTTTTGTTGTTTTCGTTTTTATTTTTGAGGCACAGTCTCACTCTGTTGCCCAGCTGGAGTGCGATGGCGTGATCTTGGCTCACTGCAACTTCCATCTCCTGAGTTTAAGTGATTCTCCTGCCTCAGCCTACCGAGTAGCTGGGGTTACACGTGCCCGCTACCATGCCTGGCTAGTTTTTGTATTTTTAGTAGAGATGGGGTTTCACCATGTTGGCCAGGCTGGTCTTGAACTCCTGACCTCAGGTGAACCGCCCGCCTTGGCCTCCCAAAGTGCTAGGACTACAGGCATGAGCCACAGTGCCTGGACGACAATTTCTTATGCAATCTGCTTAAAATACCCACCATTCTCTTCAAATTTCCTCTCCTACTCTCACCTTCTGACTTGCATCAGACACTTCCTACATCATAGAGAAAATACACTCTAGGTTCCTGATCCTCTCTTTAAAGAAATGCACCTGATCCTGCATTTATAACTTATTCTTTCCTTCTCTCATCTAAAGCAAATATCACCTGAACCTATCCCCTCTCACACCAACAACAAATAACTACATCAATTATTCCCTCTCCTCTGGCAATAGCCTCTTCTCTCTCCTTGTTCATTCGTATCAGCATATAGACATGATCTTTGTCCTATCTAGCCATGATCTGATTTTTCTCTTTATAGTCACAGCCAAGATTCTCCCAATTTTAGTTTACTCTTAGGAGTTCTCATTTGTTTAATTGGAAATATGTCTTGCTGAGATTATTAATAAACTTCCATTTATCTGATTCAGGGAAACATTTTTCAGTTCTTATTTTGAACTCTGTGACATTTGGCAAAATTGCTTATTTCTTATTTTGATCTGGTTCTTTTATCCCATGGAGTAATATTTTTTCAACATATTTTGGTTCTAAGTAGTTCTAATATATGAATACAATTTTATTAAATCATAACTCTTCAAATAAACCTAGAATTACCATCAATGTACACTGAAGTGTGTATCAGTGTATACTACAGTGGTTTGCAAACCTAAAGCAGTGATTAAAGCATTTTCTTCAAATGAAAATTTATGCAGAAGTTTGATAGTCATTCATTCATTAATTTTTTCATTTACTAATTTATTAAGTGCCTACTCAGAATGCACTCAATGTTCTAGGCAATGAAAGTACAATTATGAAAAATCACTTATTGACACACACACACAGACACACACGTACAAACACGTATATATTTGTCTCAAGGGCTCTGTCCTTGTATTCCTTTTTTTTTTTTTCTTTGAGGTGGTCTCGCTCTGTCACCCAGGCTGGAGTGCAGTGGCGCGATCTCGGCTCACTACAACCTCCACCTCCCGGGTTCAAGCGATTCTCCTGCCTCAGCCTCCTGAGTAGCTGGGATAACAGGTATGTACCACCACACCTGGCTAGTTTTTGTCCTTTTAGTAGAGAGGGGGTTTCACCATGTTGATCAGGCTGGTCTTGATCGCCTGACCTCATGATCCACCCTCCTCGGCCTCCCAAAGTGCTGGGATTACAGGCGTGAGCCACCACACTTGGCCCCTGCTCTTCTTTATCTAAACTAATCATCCTGATGAGCTCATCCAGTCTCATGACTTTAAAATAAATGCTTTCCAAATACTGAGGAAACTTCAATTTGTATCTTTAACCCAGACTTCTCCCTGAACTTCAGACTCCTATATCCAATTGCATCTTAGATGCATCTTCTTAAATGTGTAATAGGCATCTCAAATTTACCACGTTTAAAGTCAAACTTTTGAGCTGGGTGCAGTGGCTCACGCCTATAATCCCAGCATTTTGGGAGGCCGAGGTGGGCAGATCACCTGATGTCAGGAGTTCAAGACCAGCCTAGCTAACATGGTGAAACCCCCTCTCTACTAAAAATACAAAAAATAGGTGAGCATGGTGGCGGGCGCCTGTAATCTCAGCTACTCAGGAGGCTGAGGCAAGAGAATTGCTTGAACCCTGGAGACGGAGGTTGCAGTGAGCCAAGATTGCACCACTGCACTCCAGCCTGAGCAACAGAGTGAGACTCGGTCTCAAAAAAAAAAAAAAAAAAAAAAAAGAGGCCTGGTGTGGTGGCTCACGCCTGCAATCACAGCACTTTGGAAGGCTGAGGTGGACAGATCCTGAGGTCAAGAGATCGAGACCATCCTGGCTAACATGGTGAAAACCCGTCTCTACTAAAAATACAAAAATTAGCTGAGCATGGTGGCAGGTGCCTGTAGTCTCAGCTACTCAAGGACTGAGGCAGGAGAATTGCTTGAACCTGGGAGGCAGAGGTTGCAGTGAGCGGAGATCGCACCACTACACTCTGGCCTGGGTGACAGAGTGAGACTCCATATCAAAAAAAAAAAAAAATTATCCAGGACTTTCCTGCCTGAGAGGTTGCGAGGCATTGTTGAGGACTTACCTGGCATCAGAGACAATGGCATCATAAAGGCATCAATTTGAACAATTTTGCAGTTTTCCTCAGAAATCCTTAGCAACATGGATACAGAAGCAGAGATGACAAACTGGTGGGACTGGTCCTCAGAATTGGGAGTTAAGCCAAGGATGGTGGAAGATCAAAGAGATGAGAGTGGTTGAACTGATAAACCATCAGATCTAGAAAAACAAGCGAAGATTTAAAAGTTTTAACTAACTGGGAAGAAAAAAAGAGGTACCACGGAATTAAAATTTGCATGAGGTTGAAGAACAGACAGTGGGAAATGAGATTGAAAGAGTTGGATAATTGTGAGGTTGTCATCAGAAAACGTGATGTTGCAGTTCAGATTTTCAGTGATGAGAAAGCTTTGGACAATGATAGAATACAGGGAGTCCTCAGTTAACCCCTTCAGCCTCAAGATCCTTCATCTCCGATACACACCAGAGATGGGGGATCTTGAGGCTGAAGAGGTTCACTATCTGCAAAGATATCTGATAAGTCGTTTAGTTCCAATACCCACATTCACATGAGTAATGGCAGGGCCAGAAGAATGGAGAAAATTGTTGCTAGGCAAGACAAGGGTGAAAGGATGAGTCAGGGATCAGGAATGGCCAAGCTATTTGGGAGGCCTATACAGAAAGAGAAGGTTGCAATGTTTACATGTAATCGAGAATGTTAAGCATATGGGGTTATCTGGCCTCAAAGATTGGAATGAAATCTTTTGTACAATCGTCCATTGCTAGCACATGCTGAGGCCCAAGTTTCTGTCAGAGGCTCACTGAGACCTTCCTAAGCTACCGAATGGAATTTTTGTCAAAAGAGGTCTTGTGGTCTTGGCACAGGTTCAGGGGCTGGTCTGGACAAATAGGAGAAAGGAAATTGGAGAACCTACTGTGTACCAAACAGTATACTGAGCACTTTACATAGATTATCTCATTTAATCCTGCCAACAATCCTCCTGTGAGATAACTATTATTATCACCTCCAACTGAGAAACAAAAGGAAGCTGAAGCTACTAGAATTAAGGGTCCAGACTTTGAACCAATAACTTTTTATGGGAAAGCATAATACTTTTTCCACTGCACAGTATAAGATTCATGCAATTTAGAAGGAATTGATACCTCCCTCCCCCACATCCATGAATGGGCCCTGATGGACTTAAGGTAACTCTCATCATCCCTTCACCTCAACCAGCAACCGCCTCCAGGATTGACATGAGTGTGGCTCCAGAAGCTGCTGGCAGGCACCAGGGGAACCTGCTTCAATCCTACAGGTAACACCAGAAAGTGGAATTGAGATGCATAGAGAAAAAGGAGGTCTTGGCCTTTCTTGAAGTCTACATCTGTACCATTATATGAGCCAATAAACTCTCTTTTGTGATTAATCCAGCTTTGATTGGGATTCCAAACTGATTGAATATCAAAGTATGAAATGTAAACATTTGCAAACAAACCAAGGCCTTCAGGAAATATGTAAAGAGCAAAACCTGCTTGGAGTGCACACCCACCTCCCTTTCAGCAACTCATTCTTGGTTTCCATCTACCTCCTCTGATAATGTCTAAAGATTCTCTAGGTGGTCCTATTCCTGTCTCAGGAATAGGGACATATGCATAAAAAACCGGGCAGTCCTCTTGTTTTCAACTTTGCCAAGCTTCTTCTCCCTAGACACTCACTCTTAGAAGTCTCAGAGTCAAAACAAGAAGAATTCAGGAGTTCCTCTTTGGCCCTGAGCTGACTCCTTGGCAACAGACTCATATCTCTCTGAAAATGTAAGCTTATCACACAGACGTAGAGGTTGCTTATTTAGAAGAAGAAGAATAAAGACAATAATAAAGCTAAAATATGGGCTGGGATAGGGTGCATAAGTTAGCTTCATTTGGTGCAATGTGTGCGTAAACGCACTGTGTTAGTCTTAGATTTAAAAGGAAGGAAGAAAATGCAGGAAAAAGAAATGGGAATTTCTCTAGAAGAAGAATGTTTTTAATTTTGCATGATATTTCTTTTTAAAATCGATACGCTAAAGAAGGCTTTTAAATATTCTAAATATTTTATCACATTTTTGAAAATGTCTATAAATACAGAAATACTCTTACCCCAAATTTTTATTTTCAGAAAGAAAAAGATCACAAAACTGGGTCAGTATTTGTTACTGATTCTTATATTACCTGCCAGAAAATCAGAATGTTAGAGCTGTGTTCTGTTTAGTTCCTAGGTTAAGACACAGAGTCCTTCCCCTAAACTTCCTTATAGTATAATAGAGTGAGTCATTGGACCTAAACTACATATAACCTTTAGCAATGCAAGAATTATGATAACAAAGAGAATTATCTAGTAGGTCAGGAGTTGCCTGGCAGATAGGAGATGGAGATCATTTAATTTTAAGGAGATAAACTTGAGCTAATACTTGAAGGAGGGGAATATGACTGGACAAACAGAAGGAAGGCATCTGAAAAGCTGACACCTTGAGAGGTCGTTCCAGAGGTCCTGGAGGTGGAGGCAGAAATAGGTCTTATTACCCAGTCTTTGCATTGTCCCTCATACGTAGTGCTCTTTTTGCCTTCCTATGTCTACCACTCTTGCACACAGCATCTTTTTCTAATGTGCAGACAACCATCTGACCATCCGGAACTCTACACTGGCCCCTGGCCATATAATCCATTCAAGCAACATCACAGAGAGTGCAGGAGAGGCATCATAAAGGTGACAAAGTGACAAGAGCCCCGAGGCTCTGACACTTAGTAATATAAATATTTATGAAGCTAATAAGGACAGAGATATACTGATTTGGGTAACAAGGTGTCCTGAAAGGAATGTCAAGACCAGCTTTCAAAAACGGGGTTCCCCAGAGCCTCCCAAAGCCGCAGAGATGTGCTCAGGCAGCAGACCCTGCTGACAACAGCCTGCATGAAATGCAAGGGCTAGGGAGCCGGCTATTTTTATCATCCTATATTGTTTATAGTTGGCAAATGCTTGATATTGTGTGAGAGTCTCCTCACAGAATTTATGAATCATTTTCCCCAGTCACAATTCTGAAACGAACATTCTCCTACACATTTGTGCCAGACAGAAATTTCATTAGAAGTTTATCCTCGGGGTGTGCACTTTAGACCAACATTTTTTTTTTTACAGGCTCAGATCTGATGTCAGAACCCTGAGTTCTGGTCTCTGCCTCACCTCTTGCTAGCTTCTAACAGAGCTGTATCTGATTCTCTCTCTCCCTAGGCAGCAAGAGCATCTGTCCCACTCAAAAGAGCAGCAACAGACCTGGAGAAAGGAACTCCATTTCTTTCTCATTATATATATTCTCCATATGTTTAAATATTTACACACACACACACACACACACACACACATATCAATGGAAACAAATGAAAACCAGACCTAAGTTCATTATTAAAATCCCGGCTATGAACTTCCATTTTCTTTCCTGGAAAACATTTTTTGGGGATCTTTTGAACTCTAATGAAAATGTGGTGAAATTCATAATTGAAATATGTTTTAAGCTGCCTAAATTGTCTTTGCCTGAAGGCTGATTATATACTTATTAAGATGTCTCTGACCCCAGATGGTGAGAAAAAAGTATATTAAGTCATTTCTTGTTTTATTTAAATATTTATTGAACATTTACCATTTTCATCAAATACCTTTAGAGCATTTTATGAGCATTTCAAACATGCAAGTTTTATCTCCTTTTTACAGATGGGATGACTCTACACAGAGTAGCTGAGATAGGCTGACTCACTCCTGTGCCAATCCCTTGACTAAAGTCCTCAAAAAAAAAAAAAAAAAAAAAACCAGATGGAGTTCCAGATTTTGTCTACAGAAAATAGTTCTGTTGCTACAGACAAAGCCTCAGCATTAAAAATGCCAAGCTCTCCCCTCTCTAAAACTCTGTATCATTTTTTGTTTTCTGGGTTTAGGTATGACTAATACCTAACATTCACAAAGAGACAAAATAGATATAGATAGGAATATAGATTAGTTTTAGATACAGATATGTATGCACAGAAAAAGAAGAAAAAGAATGTACAGCAAAATATTAATCACTGGATTATCACTGGGGAATCGCTGCATGTTGTGGTCAGCTTGTGTTTCCTATCTTTTGCTTTTTCTGTTTTTACATCATTTCAGTAAATATATAATTCAGGACATATAATAACATTTTTACAGTGCTTCCACTTTTCCCTTCCTTCCTGTTCCTTCCTGAACAATGCATCCTCAAGCTATTTATTGAGGTAGAGCAAGACAGGCTGATAGGGATAGAACGGGCCACCGTGCCTCCAAGCAGGTGTCAAGGCCCATGTGGGGTGAAGAGGACATGCATGCAGGAGGGATGCCTGGCATGGGGTATGGGAACCCAAGTGGTAAAGAGGCTGTCTGAGAGGTGGGGCGGCATGGGAATGAGGAGTCAGTGTGCCAGCAAGATGAGAAGGCCATGTCTGCAGAGGGCAGCCTAGTACTGGGAATCAGAGACCAAGCATGGTAAGGAGTGTGTCTACGCCAGGGGGCATGATCGGCGTGAGTTGGAGGGCGTTAGGAGGGCATCCACACACAAGGGAAGCCTGGCATGAGTTGGGGTCCAGGCAGAATGAAAAGGGTGGTCATGTCTAGGTGAAGTCTGACAGCGCATGAAAACCCAAGGGGCTAAGAAAATGCCCATGAAGATAGATGGGGGGCAGGTGGCAGCATAGAACTGGGTGTCAGAAACTAAGTGAGGAGAGAAGGCCTCTAGGTAGGTTGTTCTATTTGTCCCTGTCAACCACATAATGTCTTGATAATGCTAATATTTCAGCCTCTTGATTATTTCTCCCAAAAAAGAGAAAAGATGTTTGGGTCCATGTCAACATGACATTGATGACATTGAAAAAAAGAAAATCTGCCACTGAAGTCGTTTTGTGTCATAAAAAAAATGGTTTAAGTTATTTGGAAAAAAACTCTGTCACTGTTCATCCAGGTTCGCCGGTCACAGACTCTCCCTTGTCTCCCTGGGCTTGAATCAAAGCCTCCCCAGCTGTGTCTTTGTGATGAGGCCAGAGAGCATGGCTGTATTACTCTTGGCATTCATGCTCAGGCAGAACAAAGGCAATCTGAATGTCTGATTCACCCCCACAGGGCTCTAACAAAGCAGTTAGGCTTTGGAAAAGGGTAAAAATTCAGCAGACACAAGACAAGCATGCTATCCCACCTTGATTCTCACGCCCACTGTAGATACTAATGATTGGGCATTAAATACTCCTTCCCACCAGGAACTCATGCCTCAGAATCTTTTTTAACACGGGATTCCAATTCCCCATTACCAATCAGTAGAAGTTGCTACAAAAGATGAAATTTATTTGCCAACCTTGATATAAAAATAATTGAAGTTTTTGCTTGATATGAGCTAAATCATATACTGGGGAAAAGAAAATGCAGCAAGATATCAAAATTTGCTCAAGATCTATGGGGAAGAGCAAGATGGAGACTGGCAACTGTGGAAACATTTTCAAATCCTAGAATTTGTAGGGGGTAACTCTTGTCAAATTCAACATCAGCCCTCCACAGCCCCAAGAAACTCTGTAAGCGACCATTTACCTTACCTTGGAGGACTGTATAATCAAAGGAATCAGAATCACCTGAAAGCTTCACAGCATGTCAAGAGCAAGACCCACACCACTCTCCCAGGAGCATATGGACCTTTTCTAAAACCAATTATTGGATAGCCACGCAACACCCAATGAGTGAGCTGCTTCTAGTACAACCATTTCTTTCAAAGCCCTAGGGAGGCACAGGAGCATCCAGGAGGTTTGGAGGAAGCAAAAGTATAAATCACATGATTGTTCTTTGCAAAATGCAAGAGAATGTATGTTAATAACATTCAAGCTTTGAGTAATCATGGTAATAGCTACCATTTACGGAGAACTTCTCACTGCCTGGGTACTTTAGGAGCATTGGGTCATTTAATACACAATAACCCTTGAGGTAGGTAGTTTTAGCTCCATTTTATAAATAAAGCACTACAGCTTATAGCCACAGGAAATTGCTCAAGGTCACACAGAACTGGGATCAAATTCATTTGGGCGTGCCCGTTTTGGAAGCCTGGGTCCTTAACTTTATGTAAAATTTTTCCTCTACCCCATCCAAAAATGCAGTAAAGAGAAAGGATATTTCAAAGAAAGCAAATGCAGATGACATTTGGAAGATTAAAACTCCGTCGCTCACAAAACTGGGCATTTCCCCGGCAGGTCTTTCTTCTCCATGGGAAATCAAATATTCATTCACGAGAGCCTGTCTGTTGGGCAAAGAGAATGACGAACACTGTCTTCAAGAAGGAAAATGCTCTCATGGGGGAATGGAAAGAATCTGTAGCCCACTATAGCATCTGAGAGGTAGGAAAAGTAAAGAAAACTTCAGGATACACTCTCACCTTCTGTTGACTCTCAGAGGCAGATTTGTAACCAGAGATCCCAAGAGCTATGGGAGAAGTAGCCAGGTTGGCTCTTCAACTGACTTACAGTTAATCAGAGGAATCTAACAGAGGGAGCAATAGGAGAATGAAACTGCATGTTGGCAAGAACAAAGGAATAAACATCACTGTAAGTCTAATTCAAGTTCTGACAGATGCAAACCAAAGGCATGGTCAGTCATGCTGTGTTACCCTGTGATTCCAAAAGAAGAGAGGTTTAAATGGCATTATGTTATTGGATAGACTTAAGTAAAGACACGAGCAGAAAATACAACTATAAGAAAGAGGAATGAGCAAAGTAACGGGAAGGGAACCAAGTCATTAGGGGCAAAGATGGCCAACAGTCCAAGAAGAGAGGGTCAAGGGAGGGCTATAAGAAGTAACATAGAATAGCTAATAATGAGGATACAGAAGATAGCATAGAATAATGAGGAAGGAAAAGGCAGATTGGAGAAAAAAAGGAAAGAAGGGGTGGGGGCTGCTACGGCTTTAATGCAGCCACGTATCAAAGAGGAGCTGGTCAGAGTGAAGACTGCAGAGATCCTTTGTAGCAGCAGGGCTTTAAACATTTCAAGATACTATAAATTTCATATTTCTTTCGAGAAACATTCTAAATGCTTTACAAATATTAACTCATTTGATCTCATAGTAATTGAATGTTGTAAGATACAAAGTATTATTAACCCCATTTTACAGACGAGAAAATTGAAAGAGAGTTGAACTGACTTGCCAAGATCACACAGGTAGAACATGGTGAAGGTAAGAGTTGTGCGCTGGCGGTTGGGGGCTGGAATACACAGGTCTTAACCACTCTCCCTTGTTGCCTTTCTGGTTTATTACACATCAGAAACAGACTGAATGCAAATATTTGATACCAAGGAGTTACATTTCTAGGTACTATATTATGGGAAAAAAAAATGCTATTATTAAAAACCACCCATCAAGAGCAGAGAATATCTGTTGTGAGCTGAATTATGTTGGCCTCCCCAAATTCATACATTGAATTCTTAACCACCAGTACCTGAGAAAGTGACTGTATTTTGGAGATAAGGTTTTTAGAAAGATGATTAAATTTAAAACGTGATCTTTACTAGTGTCCTTATAAGAAGTGGAGACTGGCCAGGTGTGGTGGATCACACCTGTAATACCAGTATTTTGGGATGCTAAGGAGAAAGGATCACTTGAGGCCAGGAATTCAAGGATGCAGTCAGCTATGACTGTGCCACTGCACTCTAGTCTGGGCAACAGAGTAAGACTCCATTTCTGAAACAGAAAAGGAAAAGGAAAAAAAGGAAAGAAAAGAGAGAGAAAGAAAGAGAGAGAGAGAAAGAAAGAAAGAAAGAAAGAAAGAAAGAAAGAAAGAAAGAAAGAAAGAAAGAAAGGAAGGAAGGAAGGAAGATGGATGGAAGGAAAGAGAAACAAAGGAGGGAGGGAAGAAAGGAAGGAAAGAAGGAAGGAAGGAAGGAAGGAAGGAAGGAAGGAAGGAAGGAGAGGAGAGATTAGGAAACAATCACACACAGAGGGAGGACTATGTGAAGACACAAGAAGAAGATGGCCATCTATAATACAAGCCAAGAAGACAAGAATACAGCCCACAAAAAAAACCATCCCTGCCAAAACCTTGATATCAGACTTCCAAATACATGTCTTTTAAGCCACACAGTCTGTGGTACTTTGTTGTGGTAGCCCTAGCAAACTAATACAGTGTACAGTAATGTAAACTACTAATTGCTGTGATTTGAGCTGACTACAAAAGGGTTTCTGAGAAACATAAATCCAGTAACACACAAACTGGATTTAGAGGCATTCAGATTAATAGTTGGAAGAATAATTATTTATCCTCTTTTACTTATGTGAACTAGGATGGTAATAGCACAGAGGCAAGAGGATAAATGAAATTTAACTGTTGTAAGAATGCTATATTGTTTAGGAAGTGGTAGTTAATAAAATTAAGTCAAAATGCATGTTGTAATCTGCAGTAGCTGCTGAAAGGAAAATACAAACAAGGGTATAATTTAAAAGCTGATAAATGCGACAAAGATAAATAATTTAAGAGAAAAGACTTATTACAAAAGAAGACAAAATGAAGCAACAAAGGAATAAAGAAGAAATGGGGCAAATAAAAACCAAATTGCAATGTGGTGGACCTAAATATAACTATGTTAAGAATTACAATTACATTGAAATGCATTAAACATTCCAATTAAAAAATAAAAATATTCAGACTGGACAAAACCACTAAAGCCCAATAATATTCTTCTTACAAGATACCCTTTAATTAATTTTAAATAAGGATAGCCCTCAATTAAAAGAATGGAAAAACATACAGCATTAAGACTTTATCCAAAGGACAGTTGGTGTGACTATACTGGATAACAAAGTACACATTAAGTTAAGAAGTACTACAGTAGAGAAAGAGGGGTACAACATAGTGATAAAAGGATCATGACATGAAGCTATAGTCCTAAAACTGTATGCACCCAATAACACAAATTCTAAATATAAAGAGTAAAAATTCACAAATGGAAAGAGGCAAATTCAAAATGGTAGTTGGGAATGTAAACACACTTCTCTCAAAAGCATAGGAAATGTGGACAAAATATCAGTAAGGATAGAGGAGATTTCAAACATAAAAATAATCAAACTGACCAAGCTGAAATTAATAAAACACTATATCCAACAGCAGAATATGTACCTTTTTGAAGTACATAAAGAATATACAACAAAATAGACTATAAAAAGCCATAAAGGAAGTCACAACACATCTTAAAGGATAAAAATAACAGAGTATGTTTTATGACCAGGGGAGAATTAAGTTAAAAATAAATAACAGAAAGATAACTATAAACATTTCCAAATATTTAAAAATAAAATAAATAAAAATAATTAATGGGTCAAGAAAAAAATACAATGGAAATTAGAAAATGTTCTGAAGTAATAACGAAAACTCAACATAGCAAAACAGTGGCAAACAATTAAGACAGTACTTAGAGGAAAAATTTATAGGTTTAGATCATATATTTAAAAAGAGTAAGGTTTAAAATCAAATATCTAAGATTTTATCATTAGATGCAAGAATGAAAGATCAGCAAATGAAGCCCAAATAAAATATGATAAAGAACATAATAAAGAATAATAAACATAAGAATAAAAATTGATGAAATAGGAAGCAGAAGCAGAATGATTTTTAAACTGGGTTTTTTGATAAGAATAATGTAATTGATAAACACTGAGCAACACCGATCAGGAAACAAAGAAGGTAGAGTTAGCAATATCAAGAACTAAACAATTATCTATAAATCTTATAGACATTTAGAAAATAAATATTATGAGCAATTTTATGCCAATAAATTTGACATCTTAGATAAAATGGTTAAATGTCTTGAAAAACAAAACTTGCTAAAATTAACACGAGAAAAAGTAGAAAATTTAAATTGTCTAACATCTGTTAATAAAATTGAATTTATGATTTAAAACCTTCCTACAAAGAAAACTACACATTCAGATGGCTTCACTAGTGAGTTCCACCAAACTGTTAATGAAGAAATGATACCAAATTTATACTAACTCTTTCAGAGAATGGAGAGAAAATTCCCCAATTCATTTTAATATTAGCAAAGATAAATAATATACTAATTTTTAAAACCCTAAATAGTTAAAAATTCAAATCCAGAAACATATAAATGGATGAGAAATTGTTAGCAAGTGGGGTAGCTCCAGGTGTGTGCTGTCAGTTTAACACATGAAGGTCATTCAATGTAATTAATTTCATTAGTAAAATAAATATGAAAAATCCTGTAACCATCTCAGTATGCAAAACAAGTATTTAATAAAATTTAACAACCATGTAAGATAAAAACTTTCAGAAAACTAGAAATATAAGGAAAACGTATTCACTTAATAAAGTGGTAAGATATTATACATATTCTCCCTATAGTCAGGAACAAGACAATCATCACATCTATTCAACTTTCATCATTATTATTCCAAGACAGTGGAATAAAACAAAAATAAAAAATAAATAAAGGGAAGAAAGTGCAGTAGGTTGAATAATAACAACCCGAAGATATTGAGTCCTAATCCCTGGAACTTGAAGGGCCGTGCCCATGGGCAAGGTGGTTCTCTTCAGCCACGGGCAATTCCCTGAGAGGGACTCAGCTGAGAGCTATCAGCTGCTGACCAACCTATCAGCTGGGGAAGTAAGAACTTCAGTTCTAAAAGGGAGATCTGGACAGTGGACGACCAGCTTCCACCCTTCCGTACCAGGTCAGACTGACAACAGGCTGTTTCCAGAAGTCCCCTTGAAATCTATTAAATTGTTTGCAGGTGGTTTAATGGTTTAGAAGAAAACAAAGTTTATTCCATATATATTTTACATTAGAAATGTAAAAATAAATTAAGACTTTAACAAAAATCTTTTGTATTTTTAATAATGGTTACATTCTTAAATGATCTGTGTATGCTAAAATGGCTGGGTGAATCTCATTATCTTGGTTAGCATGCAATTATTAGATCCAGGGCATCCTGGCTAATATATTTTCATGTCACTGGCATATCGTGTTTTATGTTGTTTCATTTATATTTTTCTCATTATTATTTTGATGCATTGCATCACCAAATGACAAAAAGGAATTACTGGCTCAAACATGGTGCACTGATGCATGAAAGTAGTGATGAAAATAGAACCTAATTACAACTAAGAATAACGATAAATATTAAGAAGGAAAAGAATTCCAATACAATGTGTGTTCTGAGACAAATCAGGATTTTGCAGCAGCTGATAAACATATGAGCAGGAAATATAATAATGAATAGACAAAAACTGCATTTCTTTGGGTATTTGCTTCTAGTGCTTCTAGTGTGTTGCCTGTTATACTTTGTCAAATATTGGCAGAAAACCACTGAATCAGTGTGTATCAATTTGCAAAGGCAGTCCGCTAACTTGTAAACCAATTTAGTTGTCCTGGAAGAACTGTAAAATAATGCTTTTCAGTACAAAAGTAATGAGTTTAGTCACTAAAAGTAAGGAAGAGACCAAATCCACAACGTCATCATTCTAAGTTGCTTTTCTTACAGCAAAAATAGGACAAGTTACATGACTGCCAAAAGTCTTATAAAATAGGAGCAGAGTTTATGAAATGATGCCCAAAGAAAATGCAAAACATGCTATTGGCACAAATCCTTTCTGAAATGGAACGTCAAGCAAAGAAATGGCCTCTAATGGGGAGGAACAGTCCCATATGTGTGTGCAAGAAAATAATTTGCTTTGGCCGGGTGCTGTAGCTCACACCTGTAATCCCAGCACTTTGGGAGGCCGAGGTGGGTGGACTGCTTAAGGTCAGGAGTTCAAGACCAGCCTGACCAACATGGTGAAACCCTGTCTGTACTAAAAATACCAATAAAACATTAGCCAACCCGGTTGGCGCATGCCTGTAATTCCAGCTACTTGGGAGGCTGAGGCAGGAGAATTGCTTGAACCTGGGAGGCAGAGGTTGCAGTCAGCCGAGATCGTGCCAGCACATTCCAGCCTGGGTGACAGAGCGAGACTCCATCTCAAGAAAAAGAAAATAGTTTGCTTTGTGAATGATGCACAAAGCATGAATCACACTTGGCAAATGTACAGTACACATAAGAGGGATACTTCTATCTATTTATTACTAAAAAATCAATACTATTTAAAAATAGCAGCAATTATTCATTGGCCTGATTTTTAGACTGGAAAGATGTGTGTTGGTGTCATTACTAACACAGCACCAATCTCCAGCATGGAAAAGTGAGCTTCCTAAATGGGAACCCCTAAATACCAATCTTTATACTTCTTTATTCACAGGTGATAGTTGGGGGTCAATGATGTGCCTCTGGACCTTGATTCAGTGTTGAAGAAAATAGTGAAAACTGTTGAAGCACTTGTTTTTCCTTAGTGTACATGTTTGAACATGCTGGGCAAAGAAATGGACAGCAAGGATAAGACCCTGCCATCTGCAGAAGAAAAAAACTCACATGAGCAATATGAGTTTCTGAAGTTAGCAGAGAAATAAGAAAACATTTCATTATGACATAGCAATTGTAGTAAAGACTATTTCTCTGATTTCAAGTGACTTAATTGAAGAGATTAACTCAGCAATACATGCATGGTCATAAATAACCTGCATGTATCCCACGAGGACTCAAGTGTCATGATTTTAATCAAGATTTATGGCTGGGAGCAGTGGCTCACGCCTGTAAGCCCAGCACTTTGGGAGGCTGAGTCCTGCAGGTCACTTGAGGTCAGGAGTTGGAGACCAGCCTGGCCAACGTGGTGAAACCCCGTCTGTACTAAAAATACAAAAATTAGCTGGGCATGATGGCAGGCACCTGTGACCCCAGCTACTCCAGAGGCTGAGGCAGGAAAATTGCTTGAACCCAGGAGGTGGAGGTTGCAGTGAGCCAAGATCGCGCCGCTGCACCCCAGCCTGGCAAACAGTGAGACTCCATCTTAAAAAAGAAAAGAAAAGACTTATAGAAAGTCCATCTAATGAATTAAGCAGCTGAATTGCTAAGAATTCAACTCTGCCTCAATAGTTGATATTTTCTTTCACTCACTAGAGGAGGAAATTAACCATGGATCATGAAAAGCTGTAAAATCACATCCAACTATTTGAATAAAATATTTTTTAATGTCCAGGACAATTGTAAGTTAGCAGTGAGTTCATTAGTAATCTATGTTCCATTGTCTCCCAAGTTATACTTTGGAATCTTCCAGCATTTCATTGTGTCTGCTTCTGAGCACTAACCAAGCCACCAACACCTGCCACCATTCCATATAATTTATCATTGTGAATTGAACATTTCTAATTTGTAAAAACAAAAAGCAAGGAAAGAAGTTGGCTTGGAATCCACTCTATGGCTCAAGTTATCTACCCTCTGGATACAATTACTTTGTTCAAAGTTGAAAATGTCATCTCACTCAAAGATGTGAGATTATATTTATTATATTTCTCTATTTTTAAAGTATTTTAGGTATCATTATTTAGATTTCAATATTTTATTTTAAAATTACTTTATTATAATTTACATATATTCCAAATTTTTGATTTTTTAAAAAATATATTTCCCTGAAGTAGTGGTCTGTATTTGCTTTAAATTGGTTTGTGTTTGCCAAACAAGGGGTTCCCCACTGTTGGAAGTGATGCTGGAATTATGACATAAAGGCAGCCATCTTGAAAAAGATCAATGCTGGCCAGGAACAAAAGCCAGAACAAGCTCCTTCCCTCCCATGTGAGTTCAGCGGCATAAATGCCCAAGGATACCGCTGGGCATATCATAGGTGCTAAAAAGAAAATCTATAACTGCCACCTCCTCTCATTCCTAGCACCAATTATCTATCTGGTTTTATTATAGTTATAAGTGAGATAGAGAACATTTCATTCCTCATTCTAAGGAGATACTTTGCATGGAGCCAGTAGTGCATGGATCCATAAAAGACAGAAAACACATCACCTCAGTAAGAAGATTCTTTAGCTAATCAAATATCCCATTTTCATTTCCTTCCTGGATATATGGGAAACTACACTTCCCAACTCCCAAGAAGTGAAACAGGGCCGGGCATTGAGATGTGGGTGGAAGTGCTGTGTAGCAAAGCCTTTACATCAATCTCTAGTCTTGTTAGTTGTATTTTATTTTCTCTTCTTCTGGTTTTAAAGGGCATTTGTTGAGGTTTCTATGTATCTGTTATCCCAAGTCATATAGAGAGCATTGGGCATGTAGTATAAACCATAAATTACCTTTGGCTCTGTTTAAAACGCAGATTTGTCTTGTTACTGATAGTGACAAGAGGCAGACAAACGCCTAGGCAGATAGGGGCATGTACCCTGTGAAGCCCACCTCCAAGCCAAAGACAGTTTAAAGCCTGAAAGCCAAGCCACAAGTTAAATCCTCCGACCAGACCGACAACTTATCTTCCTGTTTGGCGTGCTTTCCTATGATTGATCTCCACCCTTCACCTATTTTACATATACCTACCCTTTGCTAATTGGTTTTCTATACTGTCATGCCCACCTTTGAGTGGTGCCTTCACGTTAACCTTTTTTGCATACTCACAAACCAATCAGCATGCACTCCCCAACCTGTGCCTATAAAGACCCCAGACTCAGTTGGTAGAGGGGGAGGCGGCCTGACTTCAGGGTACAGACAACCTGACTTTGGGGAAGATGGCCTGCCCTTCCTGTCCCCTCTCCAACTCCCCTCTCTGCTGAGAGCCATCTTCATTGCTCAGTGAAATTGTCTGCCTTCTGCCAGGCGTGGTGGCTCACACCTGTAATCCTAGCACTTTGGGAGGCCAAGGTGGGCGGATCACCAGAGGTCGGGAGTTCAAGACCAGCCTGACCAACATGGAAAAACCCCGTCTCTACTAAAAATACAAAATTAGCCGGGCATGGTGGCACATGCCTGTAATCCCAGCTACTCAGGAGGCTGAGGCAGGAGAATCGGTTGAATCCAGTAGGTGGAGGTTGCGGTGAGCCAAGATCACACCATTGCACTCCAGCCTGGGCAACAAGAGAACAAGAGTGAAACTGCGTCCCCCATCCCCCCCCCAAAAAAATTTATCTGGCTTCACCATCCTTCAATCATCCACGTGACTGCATTCTTCCTGGACACCAGACAAGAGCTCAGGACTCCCAAAAGTGCAGGTACCCAGAAAGGCTGTCACACCAGCCCTTTGCCCTCGCTGGTGGATAGCAGCTGCCATTGTGCCAACTGAACTGCTAACACACCGCCGTCTACAGACATTGGAACCAAAGGAGCACCGTAACACCTGCTGTGGGGCTTCGGGGTCACAGGCACCCTCGTCTGGGCGACACAGCATTCCCCTTGAGGCAATATGCCTGGTCTGGCCCAGGCCACGCATGGAGCTTGCTCCTGTGTCAGCGTCCAGAGCAGCCAGCCAGATCCTGCACTTGCTCGCTCATGTGCTCCTTCCCGCAAGGGATTGAGCACGGTGGGCCAAGTAGACAGGGTGCCTCTTCTGTGAGTTCAGAGAAGGGACTGAGAAAAATCTTGCATCATGTGGATGGTGGAAATCTACCTTTCCCTAATTATCTTCTTTTGAATCTGTGAGGAAGTTGCTTCTTTCTCCAGCTAGGTTTGAGATTCCTTGAATTTCAATTTCCTTATCATAGGAAAATGGAAATATTATATAAATACCAGCTGAAGCAGCGTGGCAGCAAGGAAGGAGCTTGATCTTGGACATCAGACAAACTGGCTTCAAACTCCAGTTCCTAAGTTCACTCACATTTATTCAACCACAATTTACTGTTTAGAATGTGCCAGGCACTATGCTAGATGCCGGCTGGGAGGATACAGAGCTAAAGGCCATGGTGTCTACTGCTCTCAAAGACTGGTATCTGAGCCTTGTTACCTTCTGTCTTCTTAGCCTACTCCTACCTCCTTTCAAAAGGGCCATCCCTACTTATATCTCAGGTCTCCACATAAATTCACTTCCAAAGGGAACTTTGACATGGTCTTAGGAGACAGAATAGAGGCCCATCCTATGTGCTCTCTCATAAAAGCAATGGAAAGTTCTATTAATTTTACCCACCAAAGCTGTCCACTTTCCTCTGTCTCCAGCACCAGCCATCTGGCCCACATGACTTTCTTTCATCTCTTGCCTGGACTTCTATAGTGGTCTCCTAACTATTCCCTCCACATTCTCTTTTGCTCCTCAAATCTATGGGCTACCCCACAGCCAGAGAGATCTTTTCAAAAATCAAACATGAACTAATTCCTGTTATTCAATATGCCACAGTAAGTCTTCACCCACAAAACCTTTCATTGTGTTCCCATTGCTCCTAGGAGAGAGATCAGAAGCCTTCATGTGACAAAATGCCTGGCTTTAAACATTGCCTCTCCTATCTGCACCAGCCACACTGACTTCTTTTCTTTTCTCCAAGAAAAGGAAGCCATGCTCCCTTCTGCAAGGGGCTTTTTTAATGCAGTATGCAGTCTGCCTAATAGGCTCTGGCACCATCTACCTCTTCAACTGGCTTTAATCCTCCTCTTTCAATCATCACTTCCTGGAGGAAGCTTTCCCTGAGAACAGTTCCTCCAGTATAGGTTCACATAGCCCATGCACCTCTCCTTAGCATTTATCTCTGTTGTAACTTTACCTTCTGTTTAAAAAAATTGTGTAATTCTTTAATGCGTGCCTTTCCTCCCCGCACTGTCATTCTACTTCCATGCTAAGTTCTATGGGGCCTTTGTTTTTGTTCACCTCAGCTCCTGACAGTGTTGGAGCTCAATATTTGACTAATCAAATAGAAGCAGCTGAAACATTTTTAAGCAGAGTAGGGATCTGAGGCAGGTAGGATGCAATCAGATTTATTCGGGCCACAGTGGATTGGAGGGTTAAGACTGAGTAAGAAGGAATGAAGGGAGACCGATCAGGATGTTATTACAATCCTACAATGAGAGATGATGATAGCTTGTTTGGGAGATGGTAGTGGCAGTCAGGAGAAGTGTACAGATTTGATAGCTATTTAGGATCAAAACATGACAGCACTTGTTCATGGCTTGGCTATGAGAGAATGTCAGAGAGGGAGGAATCAAGGATGATGTTTTTTAGGATCCTGAGCAATTTGATGGAAGGGGTGTCAAACTTTAAGTCAAAAGACCTTGAAATAGGTCCAGCCTAAAGATAGGTTTCTTTGGGAAGGGGACCTAGAGAAGGTTCTGGGGTTTTTCTGTGGACTTACTGGAGTATTTCTAGAGTCATGTTTAGTATTTTTGCAAGAGTTCATTATTGAGTCCCAGCATAAGGGCACTCAAAATTTATTGCAAGGTCACTATCTGATTGTTTTAAACACCTGATGATTTGCAAAACTGCTAAGAGTCTTAGCAAACAATGCAAATAAGCCTTCAGCTCAGGGTGCCAGCATTTATTGCCTTAACTACTTTTACATGGAAATTGTATTAATCTTGCACCAACTTACTTGAACGGCTTGCTGTTGTCGAGAGCTGTATTCCCAACTCATTCTCCAACTTAAGACTGGGATATTAGATGATTAAGAAGTTTCTGATCCTTCTGTTCTCTTGATGTTTTGATAATAATAATAATATCTGCTTCTAAAAAGAATAAGCTAAGGTGAGCTTGTTTGTAGAATGAGCCCATTGTGATCTGACTCATTTCCTTTCTAATAAGCCCAAAGAGCTTCCCACTTACTCACTTAGTTTTCCACTGGTTCTCTCAGCTCATCATTTTAGAGACCAAAAAAATAAAAGGTACATAATGTTTTGTTGGTTCAAGGAAAATTTTGTGAGACATGTACCCTATACTCCCACAAGAATTTGGAAATAAGATGGCTGATTTAGAGTAAAGCTAATAAAAAAAAGACACCCCTGATGAATGAGATTATCTGCTGGTAAAAATAATCGCAGAGATGAGCTGTCAGCATGCAATTGATGAAGCCTGGAATTAATCTCAAGAATGAAATGAGGGACTGTATTAGTTTCCTAGAGTTGTCATAAGTGTCGTAAACTGGGTAACTTAAACAACGGAAATTTATACTCTCAGAGTTGTGTGTAGTCTGACATCAAGGTGTCAGCAGGATTGGTTCCTTCTGAGGTCTGCCAAGTTTGTTCCATGCCCCCTCCTAGCTTGTGAAGTTTACGGGCAATTCTCGGCTTTCCTTGATGTGGAGATTGGATCACCCCAATCTCTGCCTTCATCTTCACAAAGTGTTCCCCTGCATGCATATTTGTCTCTGTGTCCAAATTCCCCCTTTTTTATAAGGGCATGGTTGTACTGCATTAAGATTATTATCTTAACTTGATCATCATCAAAGACCCTATTCCCAAATAAGGTCACATTCACAGGCACTAGGGGTCAGGCTTTAACATGTTTTGGGAGGACACTATTCAGCCCCTAAGAGGGTTGTAAAGTTTAGTAAGCCAAATGGTAATTCATTGTATCCAGAGTGCCTTATCTGAAGAAAACCTTTGTGAACACAGCAAGATTCAGCCTAGAGAATCAAGGAAAGGTCAGCCAGACAAAAAACGTTTGGCAGCAGTGAGGGAGGGGCTTGGGTCAGTGGACTACATGGAGGATTTTCTAACTTTGTAAATAGTGGAACCATTTTTTTTCTAATGAAATCTTGAACAAAACCCCAATAAATAAAACCAGTATAGGTAGAGCTGTTCTAGTGGCACCTTGGGTGGAAGGCCCAGAATTCCATCCACTGAACATCCTCTCACCCATCGAGAGTACTCTGTCCCATTGACAAGTGTATTTAATTAGCAGTGGACTCACAGATAAAGCTCTCAGAATATGTCACTGGCCCAGCCAACTCCTCTTTTTCTGAGTATATGTTCACTAAGAAATCTTTTGATTATAACATGTTTAACACAGTCAATGTCCTTGCAGGAAGAGATTGTCCTGAGAAGACAATTCATGTGTCTAGTCTCTTCAATAATTACATTTCTGCTTACGAAGTAGTATATTGTTTTGGTTTATATGTCAATTTCACGTGTGTTTATCTATCTTAGTGTCAGTGCCCCAAAGCCCTTTCACCTCTTGGTGCTGTGGTCAGGACTGCAAAGCAGAGAAACAGACTCTGAAGACCTCGTGAGGCCGTAGCAGCCCAGGAGACCTGGCTTTAGTTGCCAGCCAGGCCCCTAACATGACCTCACTGCTCCCCTCCAATTTCCTCCAATTATTAAACTGTATATGATTGAGGCATCCCAATATCTACTCCAGCATTTTTTCATTTCAAACCATTTTTGTTGTTTTAAACCAAGATTTCTCAACCTCAACACTGACATTTTGAGTCAGATACTTCTTTGTTGGGGAAGGAAACAGCCTATACATTGTAGGGTGTTTAGCAACATCCTTGACCCCTACCCACTAGATGACAGGAGCACCACCCAAGTTGTGGCAACCAAAAATATCTCCAGACATTTCCAAATGTCTTCTGAGTGGGTACCACCCCTGACTGAAAATCGCTATTCTGAATGCAGACTCTAGAACCAGGGAAATTATTCCTAACATTGTCTCCAGGGGAGATGGTAGGCTTAAAGGAGAGTTGACCAGTATCTGCCACAGATTACTAATAGCTGGACTTTTCTGCCATGTAACTTCAATCCTGTGAGGTGTTTCATCTCATTTACCAAAGAGGAAATGTTACTGAAATACTGAGGGTTTGGTCTAAGTCCTGCTGCTCACCACACAGAAAGCTAATCACTGAAATGAGTATTGCCAAGGAAGACGGCTTTAATTGGGTGCTGCAGCCAAGGAGATGGGAGCTCGGTCTCAAATCTATCTCCCTGACCAACTAAAAGTAGGGGTTTATATAGCAGGGAAGAAATGTAACAGTGTGTAAGAAAACACCGAGGGGAATGGAGGCATCTGGTGCCCTAATCTGGTGAGTTTGAGTTTCCGTTCTTTGACACTTTTTTTTTTTTTTGAGATGGAGTCTTGCTCTGTCACCCAGGCTGGAGTGCAATGGCACAGTCTTGGCTCACTGCAACCTCTGCCTGTTGGGTTCAAGCAATTCTCCCTGCCTCAACCTCCCCAGTAGCTGAGACTCCAGGCACCCACCACCATGCCTGGCTAATTTTGGTATTTTTAGTAGAGATGGTGTTTCACCTTGTTGGCCAGGCTGGTCTCGAATTCCTGACCTCAGGTGATCTCTGCCCGCCTCAGCCTCCCAAAATGCTGAGATTACAGGTGTGAGCCACCACACCTGGCCCTTTGATACTTTTTTTTGAGAGGCCTGATGATCCTTTTCTGAGAAAGGCACTCAGATAAAACAAATACAAGTTTCAAGCTTTAACAGCAGAAAGATCAATTTCTATGTTTATCAAAAAGAAAAGTCTATGGAACTATTGGGTTGGTTTCATAAATACCCCTCTGGAAAGTGTTACAATATGTGTGAGGGCAGTTTGTTACCAGAATAAGAAACAGAATATTCACCATTCTTCTATCTATGATGGTCAGAGTAGGTTTCCCAAGGAGGTCACATCTAAACTGGATATTGAAGTATAAAGAGAAGTTTCTAGGCAGTCAAAATAGAAAAGAGGATTGCAAGCAAAAAGGACAGCTGGCATAAAATACACGGGCCCAAACTTTAACTACTTATAAAGATAGTTTGATTACTTCTGCTGATTTCAAACAAATCATTCAATTGATCTTTTTTATAATGGAATTTTTAAAAAGTCATTCCTAAGTGGTATGCCATCTAGCCCTGGGTATTTTCTATGTAAAATGGGAGAGAGACAAGTTATTATGAATGAGAAGGCATCACTGATACAGTTACTATAAACACAGACTCATCTTCATAGATGAAAGTTGCCTGGGGGGGTTCTCTAGGCCTTGGAAGGAATTTTTTTTACGTTGGAATGTCCTAACACCATAAAATGTATGTTTTTAAAAATCACAGTATAGCAATTTTTCTTTTTTCTTTTTACATGCCCAAAGCTATACATATTTTACGTTTACAACTCAATGAGTTTGGAAATAAGTATACACCATTGAAACAATCACCAACATCAAGGCCATGGATGTATCCATCCCCTCCAAAAGTTTCCTCCCATTCCATTTCTTTATTTATTGTGAGAATACTTAACATAAGATCTAGCCTCCTAGCAAATTTTAAGTATACAGTACAGTATTGTTAACTACAGGCATTATACTGTCTATTCAATCTTCAGAATTTGTCTTTCATAACTGAAATGTACCTTTTGACCATTATCTCCCCATTTCTCCCAACTCCCCAGCACCTGACAACTATGGTTAGACTCTGTTTCTATGAGTCTTACTATTTTAGATTCTGTACATAAGTGAGATCCTACAGTATTTGTTTTTCTGTTCCCAGCTTTTTTCACTTAGCATTATGTCCTCCAGGTCCATCTACATTGTTGCAAATGGCAAAAATTTTCTTTTTATTGGTTGCATTGTATGTATATATCACATTTTGTTTAGTCATTTGTCCACTGATAGACATTTAGGTTGTTTCCATATCTTGGCTATTGTGAATAGTGCTGCAATAAACGTGAAAATGCAGTTATCTCTTTAAGATTCTGATGCCAATTCTTTAGATAAATACCCAGGAGTGAGATTGCTGGATCATATGGTAGCCCTATTTTTAATTTTTTCAGGAACTCCCATACTGTCCATAAAGACTGCCAATTTACATTTCTAGAAAGAGTGTACCAGGGTTTCCTTTTCTCCACATCCTCACCAACACTTCTCTTCTTAAAAAAAAAAAGATAAGAGCCATTATTACAGGTGTAAAGTGATATCTCCTTGTGGTTTTGATTTGCATTTCTCTGATAATTAGTGATGCTGAGCACCTTTTATATACCTGTTGGCCATTGTGTCTGTTCAAGTCCTTTGCCCATTTTTAATAGGGCTTTTGCTTTTATGCTATTGAATTGCAGGAGTTTCTTATATATTTTCGATATTAACACCTTATCAGGAAACATTTTAATAGTTTTATGAATACTGACTTTAAGCTTTCTTCCTTAATCTAACTGGCCTGTTTACTAAAAACATTTGAAAGAGTGTATTGTGATCTTCATATGGTATAAGGGAATGTCAATGAAAATCTTAGGGACAAATGAGCTTTCCACTGCAATTTTAATAAGATAGAAAAGAATATCTAGTTTCTGCCCTAATATATGTTTGTGGAGCTGGCAATCAAAATGGGACTTCAGATATTGATTACAATCAAGACTGTGTGCCAGTAATACTGCATATAAGCCATCCTGTCATAAATTTTCTATTCAGGGATGCAAACAACTGCTGCTCTCTTTCTAGACTACAGCTCCAGACTGCACACTGGAAGCACTAACATAATAATTCCAGAGCCTGGTAGAGTGACCCAGTGCTCTCTTACACTTCGATGCTGCCAAACATCCACAAAGCAGGACCTAACTCTGTAGACTCAGTTCCAGTTCAGAGAGCTGGACTGAAATATCACCTTTTAGCTAATTTTCTGTGAGAGTCTACGTGACAGAACCCTTTTTTGACATTCAAGATGGAGAAGGCATAGGAAAGAAGAATGGGCACCAAACAGTCATCATGAAATTTATCTTTTATTGCCATATTACATATCAGTAGGAAAGATGAGAGATTGAAAGGAAAAGTTATTCAGGCAACTAGGGCTTATGAGTACATCATGAGTTGTAAACTTTATATATATACTCCTGATTTTTCTGGCTCAGCACTTTTCTAGGAGTAGAAAGAACCTAAATACCATAGTTCTATGCCCAAAAGGAATGAGGTTTCTTAACTCCATATGCAATGTTAGATATAAACTTTGTAAACTCCATATCTTTCATAAATAAATATTTAATTTAGTTGAAATTGAAAAGAAACCATAAAACCCAAGTTTTGTTTTATTTGCTGAAAACCTTAGAAAGAAAAATGATGTTGATCTTTTGATAATTAAGCAATGATGCAGTCATAATTTTTTGTTTTACAGGTTAACAGAGAATTTTGGAGAGCTCTTCCCAGAGTGAACTTAGACTGCAGAAGCTCAATATCACCCTCAGAAAGAAAGCCTGAGCTGATCACAACTTTGAGGTATGAAACTCTGTACACGTTGAGGCATAAAGCCATATTATATCAACCCAGCACCAATGTAACAATTAATTCAGACAAAACATTAAAAATAAAAGTTAAGCAGATTGTTTCATTCTTTGAAGACAAAATAAGTAGCTCAGTGAATTATTCATATTAGCTAGTGGCAGGTACATTGTTCTGTGCTTGAATTCTCAATAGCTTTGCTGATGATCATAATATCACCTAGCATGCCCTCCTTTATCCCCTTTAGGGTCTTCCCCAAAAACAAAGACTTTTATGATGTTCAGCACCTGACACATTGTTTTCCAGTTCCCAATTCAGGACACAAAAGATCTTGCTTTAAGTCCCACTGTACATTCAAATGGCCTATTCAGTCTATGTGCATCTCTCTTCTACTAAAAATTTAATTAATCCAGATGCTTAGCTAATTTAACATTTCTAAACTGCGTTACTTCATATTCCTACTTACATACCAGGACTTACAAAAGCTCTGCCATAGAAACAATTTTCTTTTTGGTATCCTGGAAGGAGGAAGTTCCAATTCAGTGTTCAGCAGCATAACTCCCTTACTGAAGTTCCATTTTTTAGTGAAGGAGCTGTCCAGTGCTGAAATCTTGAAAGCCTTCGCCCAACAATACTGAGTTTTAAATATAAATCTAAAGCTTATTAATTTGATTCCCCCACCCCCATCTCACTATTACACTCTGGCCCTATTTTTAATTCTTCTCCCATCAATCTCTACTTATTCAATGACCTGGCCTGAAATAATTTCTACATGAAAAAGTCAAGTCAAACAAATTTTGGCCTTTTGATTAGCTTTTTTTTTTTTTTTTTGCCTTTGTATCCTGTCCATAAACCTCATCTTAGGTTTATAAAACTATGTGTAAGTGAGAGAGTAGAGTTTACTGAAGTTCACGTAGTGACAGAGTATCCTAACTATTTTATGTTTTTAATTCTTCACTATTTTAAGTGAAGAATAAATAACTGGGAAAGACTATTATTGTGAAGGTAGGAGACTTAGTTTCTTGTCCCATCTACTGTTAGGTTTGGGAGACTGCACAAGTTATTTAACTTTATTATCTAAGTTTCCTGATTAATATGTAAAAAAGAAGGGACTTATAGTTATTTTTAAGGATCTTTCTTGCTTTACTATTTTATGAACCTGTGAACTTTTTCAGCAGCATCCTATCAAATATTGGTTGATGCTTAAAACAAATTTCTGGGAATAACTTCAATCTTTTTAACCAGTGTCTTATCTGACATACAAAGCACATTATTATTTTTATTCCTGTCTTATAATTTTATTTCAACCAATGGCCTCTTGTCAACTAAACTTTATGGGGTACAACTCCACAAATCCTATTGATCAGAGAGAGAATTTTTCTATAAAGCAAAATTTGGATCTTTTCATCCCTCATGTATGAAACATCCTATAAATCTGACAAAACATAATTGCAATTGAAAGGAGCCTATTTGGCAGATTTTACTGAGTGCTGAGAATCTGAAATCATTATACCCCAATCTGCCATTAAATTTGGAAGAATCAGTAGACAAATGGAAGCTTCATTTTTAAGCTACTGATGAGAAAAAATCATTAGAAACTATTCTGGTTTAAAGAAATGAAGTTACTATTTTTCAGTCTTACCCACGTTTCAGAAAATCATAAATCAGAAGAAAATAAGAAATAGCATTTTATGCATTTGGAGTATATATAATAATTCAGCGTCATTTTTATATTCCTTGGAAAAGAATTTTTACTCTCAGTTTTAAATCTACATTGGTGATTTGTTATTAGTTAACTACAATAATAAAGACACCAAGAGAATATCTACCATATACAGTATAGTGCACAAATGCTAGAAAGTCCAAGTTTTGCAATCATCATGATTTTTCTGATTACTATTTAGGGTCTTTTGGGCTTAAATCCACAAATTTAATAGTGGTTTTTAAAGATTTCAACTGCACCCAATCAACTTACAAATCTAGTCCAATACCAAGAAATACTTCTAATAGGATTTTCCGCATAACTTGACAAAGCTAATTCATTTGAAAGTGAAAGCAAATCTCATTTTAAGAATGTTTTTAAAAATGAACAATCAAACAGAAAGGTTGTAAGAATCAACAAAACACTTTTGAAAAAAAGAGAAATAGTGAGCCTGCTATGGTATATACCAAAAAATTTTTTTCTTTTCTTTTTTATTTTTCTATAGGCTACTGGAGTACAGATAGTGTTTGGTTACATAAGTTCTTTAGTGGTAATTTGTGAGATTTTGGTGCACCCATCAACCAAGCAGTATATACCGCACCCTATTTGTAGTCTTTTATCCTTCACCTCCCTCCCACCCTTCCTCCCAGGTCCCCAAAATCCATTGTGTCATTCTTATGCCTTTGTGTCCTCATAGCTTAGCTCCCACAGATTAGTGAGAACATACGATGTTTGGTTTTCCATCCCTGAGTTACTTCTCTTAAAATAATAGTCTCCAGTCTCATCCAGGTCACTGCAAATGCTGTTAATTCATTCCTTTTTATGACTGTGTAGTATTCCATTGTGTATATATATGCCACAGTTTACCTACTTGTTGATTGATGGGCATTTGGGTTGGTTCCACGATTTCACAATTGTGAATTGTGCTGCTACAAACATGCATGTGCAAGTATCTTTCTCATATAATGACTTCTTTTCTTCTGGGTAGATACTCAGTAGTGGGATTGCTGGATCAAATGGTAGTTCTACTTTTAGTCCTTTAAGGAATCTCCACACTGTTTTCCATAGTGGCTGTACTAGTTTACATTCCCACCAGCAGTGTAGAAGTGTTTCCTCTTCACCACATCCACACCGACATCTACTGTTTCTTGATTTTTTGATTATGGCCATTCTTGCAGGAGTAAGGTGGTATCGCATTGGGGTTTTGATTTGCATTTCCCTAATCATTAGTGATGTTGAGTATTTTTTCATATGTTTGTTGGCCATTCGTTTACCTTCTTTTGAAAATTGTCTATTCATGTACTTAGCCCACTTTCTGATGGGGTCGTTTTTTTCTTGCTGATTTGTTTGAGTTCATTGTAGATTCTGGATATTAGTCCTTTGTCTGATGTGTAGATTGTGAAGATTTTCTCCCACTCTGCGTGTTGTCTGTTTATTCTGCTGACTGTTCCTTTTGCTGTGAAAAAGCTTTTTAGCTTAATTATGTCCCAGCTATTTATCTTTGTTTTTATTGCATTTGCTTTTGGGTTCTTGGTCATGAAATCCTTCCCTAAGCCAATGCCTAGAGGGTTTTTCCAATGTTGTCTTCTAGAATTTTTATAGTTTCAGGTCTGATATTTAAGTCCTTAATCCATCTTGAGTTAATTTTTGTATAAGGTGAGAGATGAGGTTACAGTTTCCTTCTCCTACATGTGTCTAGCCAATTATCCCAGCACCATTTGTTGAAAACAGTGTCCTTTCCTCACCTTATGTTTTTGTTTGCTTTGTTAAAGATCATTTGGCTGTAAGTATTTGGGTTTATTTCTGGGTTCTCTATTCTTTTCCATTGGTCTATGTGCCTATTTTTATACTGGTACCATACTGTTTGGGCGGCTATGGCCTTATAGTATAGTTTGAAATCAGGTAATGTGATGCCTCCAGATTTGTTCTTTTGCTTAGGTTTGCTTTGGGTGTGCAGGCTGTTTTTTTGGTTCCATATGAATTTTAGGATTGTTTTTTCTAATTCTGTAAGAATAATGGTGGTATTTTGATGGGGATTGCATTGAATTTATAGATTGCTTTTGACAGTATGGTCATTTTCACAATATTGATTTTACCCATCCAT